>NC_000022.11:37345927-37497442 GCF_000001405.40 Homo sapiens
GGCCCTGACATCTGCTGATCCCAAACCACCCCCAGATGTGGTTCTGAGCACTTCCCATCCACCCTCGCCTGGAATCCTCTCCACCATCCTCTCAAAAACGCTCACTAACCTCTCTGGGCCACAGATGCTTGGTTTCTTCGTCATTAGGACGGGATGATAACACCGGCTTGAGGTTGATGTGAGAATTAAGGGAGATAATTCGGGAAAAGCACTTGGCCCAGTGCCTGGCTCAAAACTTGGCGGCCACATCACGCCTGGGTTTATAGTTGAAACTCTATTATTGTTCTGCCCTGGAGAAGCTCCGGCCTGTGCGCACACTGGGCACTTCCCCAAGCCTCCCAGACCAGGCCCCAGGAAGGGCTGGCATTGAGGGCCCTGGCCGGAGCAGGTGGGGTGAGGCTGAAGCAGGTTCCCCCGCCCCAGAGTCCAGAGTGCCCTCCAGTCTCCAGCACCTCCTACCCCACCCCTCCTTCCCTCCCAACCCAGGCCCTGGGTGGCCCTGGCAGCTGCTCTGTCCCCACCCTACACACCCCTCCTGTCTTCCTCCTCTTATTTCTCCTTGAAACCGCTTCTGCAAAAGTTCATTCTGAAAGAAATCGATTTCCAAGCAGTTTGGAGATACAATTTGGTTTTTCATTTTGAAGAAATGATGGTGGAGGAAAAGTTTGGAGACTTAATCACTGGGGAAGGCCATGGAAATAAAGAATTCCTCTGCCCTTGGCTGGAAGCTAGGGGCCTGTGTTCATTCTCTTGGTGTGACAGCAGAAAACAGGTGCACACGGAGAGGCACGGCTCCTGTATGACACACACATGTGCACACCACATGCAGCACACAACCGTACACACACGTTGCAAAACACACACATGCACGCAGACTGTACACACCAAGACATACACACACACAGCCCTCAGTGAAACACCGTGGATGCCACCAGCCCCCAGTCCCCTCAGCAGTGCAGAGACAGGGCGTGGCTGGACTCTCTCCACCCCCAGCTCTCTGTCTCTGTCCCACACCCTAATGTATCTTGCTCTTGGAATAACCCCATCTTCATTATTATTTTTTTTTTTGAGATGGAGTTTTACTCCTGCTGCCCAGGCTGGAGTGCAATGGCATGATCTCAGCTCACTGCAACCTCTGCCCCCCCGGTTCAAGTGATTCTCCTGCCTCAGCCTCCCGAGTAGCTGGGATTTCAGGTGTGCGCCATTACGCCCAGCTAATTTTGTATTTTTAGTAGAGATGGGGGTTTCAACATGTTGGCCAGGCTGGTCTCGAACTCCTGACCTCAGGTGATCCGCCCGCCTCGGCCTCCCAACGTGCTGGGATTACAGGTGTGAGCCACCACGCCTGGCCTCCCATCTTCATTATTTCCTGGAGGGCTTGACTTCTGCTGCTATTCCAAAGGTCCTTTCCAAATCTGAAGCTGCAGGTATTCATAGTCAGACATTACTGCCTCGCTCAAGAAGCTTCACAAGCTCCCGATTACCTGGCTGGACAATAATCACATCCAAAACCACGGACAGAACCACCCACACCTCTGGCCGTGGAAGCACCTCTGCATTCCATGTCACTTCTGCCCCAGCAGCCCCTGACAGGATGGGCAGCTGCTGGGAATGTACCTGGGGCCTGCAGCCGCACCCTCCATGTCATAGATAAACACACTGCCCCAAGAGGTTGAGGGACTCACACAAGATTGTATAGGTGGTGGGTGGCAGAACACACACACACACACACACACACACACACACACACACACACAATCAGTGGCTGCAGTCTCTCATTATCAGTTCATTCTTTTGTACCTGGAAGATTTTTAAGAGTTCACTATGAAGATGGGCCCCCTGGGAAAGTCATAATGTCTGACATACTAAGGCAGGGAACCCCCAGATTCCTTGGATTGGAGGACAGAACAGGCCCTAAATTCCATCTAGTTCAACCCCTCTGATATTTGAACCCCTTTACAGTATCCTTGCCTACAGCTCTTCAGCCTGTACTTGCACACCTCCAGGGCTGGGGAGCTCGCGCCCACCTGCCCATCTCTGATCTCTTGTGAAGGTGGGAGTCCCTCGTTCTGCTGAGCTGAACTCTACCCCTGGGGATTCTCCCACCTTAGGTCTTGGGTCTCTGCCTTGGGGCTCTAAGCCTTCTCCTCTTCTGGCTGTCCTCAACCTCAGGGGCCCAATTGGGATGCCCTCCTCATTCCAAGTCTATTGGCAGAGGCCAGTGTGGGCCACGTTGAGGCTGGAAGTTCACAGACACGTGCGCTCATGTATGAGGCATTTGGCCTTCATGCTGGGGAAGGAGGAGAGCAGGGCCCATCTTCTTGGGGGAGGACACCCTTGGGGGCTAGGGGTGCCAGGTGAGGGGCACTGTGCAGAGAGCAAGAACAGGGCCTCCTTCTCACAGAAGTCTTAGCAAGGGGCTTCCAGGCTCAGTGGAGACAGGCGTGGCTGTGGGGTTGAGAAACAACCCTGTGTTAGGGGGCAGGGAAGGGCTGAGGACTTCCTGAGACATGAAAGGAGGAGAAACGAGGCTGAGGTGGGCACAGGGCCCCAGATCAGGGAGGGGTGGCCTTCCTGGAGTGTCTCCGAGCTGGTCAGTCCCATGGCCTTGCAGGGAAAAGCAAGGTCCGGAAGGTGAGGCCCAGCCCCGGGCCAGATCAGACCTCGGGGCAGGGCTCCTGTCCCACACTCTTCCCCATGGTCTGGGTCTCTCTCTCCTGAAGAATGGGCTGTCCCAGGAAGGACACTCAGGGGCTTCCCTTCCCTCTCTCTGTCCTCAGCTCCCGGGGCCCACCAATCTGTGTCCTATCTGAGGAATGTGCCACCCGAGAGGGACCTGGGGAGGGGGAAGGTGGGAGAGGACATGGAGGTCAGCCGGACGCTGCCAGCAGGGCAGCAGAGCATGAGGGGTCGGGAGAAAATCATAAATATGATGGCTTGGTGGAGGTGGCATCATGGGAGGCTTCCTGGAGGAGATGAGATAGGAAGTGAGCCCTGGGGCCTGGGGAGGTCTGCGTCTACCCGTCTTACACATTTACCCACAGGCTGGTTTCCCATCTGCTGAGCGTTTAGTGCATGCTGGGCGCTTTTCATGTCAGCAGGGCAGCCCACAGATCGCTACAGAGCATCTCTTCTGCATGCCACGCGCTAGCCTGGGCTGGGCCGGTTGACTCTGATGGGCAGTCCTGGGTGCCCGCTCCCCACGGCAATGTGATACACCCGGAAAGGGGCCAAGCCCCGGCACCAGGAGGCCTGGGTGCAGATCCCAGCCCCGCCACTTAGCTGTCGTGCAGTCCGGAGGTGGCATAGGACTGGGTGCTTGTGAGAACCAGAGGCCAATGGGATGAGGGTGGCCTGGTGGCCCTGCCCTGGACTCTCCCCACAGGGGCAGGTAGAAGAGAGGCACCCGTGCACAAGGCCCAGCCCTGGGGATCCACGGTGCCCCCGGCCCAGATTCCCTGCACCTGCCCCAGTTTGGGGCAGCCCGGCCTACTTCTCAAGGATGTTTGGAGGTTCCTGAGAGGCCCCCCAGGGGCCCTGCCCACACCCACCTCCAGCGTCTGCTCCCTCCTACAGCCACACACTCCAATCTCCAGCCTGGCACAGGGTAAGCCCCAGCACGGGGACCCCCTTTGCAGCCCCTCCTACCCCAGGGACATCAGATCTGCCAGCCCCTTCCTCCTCCTGCCCTGCCCTTCAGAGAAGGCACTGGGTGGTGGGGTGGGGGTGCAGGTGGGGCCTTGCAGGGCACACTCATCAGCCCACACCGTGGTTTACATCCTACCCTCACCACCATCATCTTACACCTCCAGCCCAGGACATTCCAGCTTCTGCTTTCAAGATGGGGTTGTGCCCACGGAAGTTAAGGCTCAGCTTTTGAATTTTGAAATAAAAATTTGAAACTTGTGTCAGAGAGAGCAACATTGAAAGGAGATTCCAGCCAACCCCTGGGCACAGAAGGCCCAAAAGCCAGCGTTCCCTGAGGACAGTCAAGAGGTAAGTGGGCACGAGGCTCCTGTTCCTGAGGGATGCTCCCCATGAGATCGGAGAGCCAAGGCAGTGAGGAGTGGTGCGCGCCCACAGCAGCACCTGGTCCTGGCGGGCAGTGGGGACGGGGTGTGAGGCTGCCTGGGCTGTGGTACGCAGAGGGCTGCTGGCTCAAAGGACACAGCACCCAGAGACGCCCTTGTCGGAGAAGGGAACCCCACAGCTGGCCTCACAGACGCCCAGGAGTGAGCGGGTCCAAGGAGAACCTGATGCAACGGCGAAACCCCCATGTGGGCCGAGTTTGTCTACAGTTTGTCTAGAAGGGGCCAGGTAGCAGCATAAATGGCAAGAACGGGTGGGAGCCAAGGAAATGATTCAGTTTTGTTCCTGGAGGCAAAAGAAGTTCCATTTCTGCCACTTGAGTTTGCAGCCTGAGAAGGTCCCTCTGGTACGCAGTGTGCAGCTGACTGAGCAGACACTGTCGGGCGGCTGCAGGGGACTCGGTGGCCTCAGTGAGCTCTGGCCACCCAGGGGGTGAGGGGAGGGACCCACTCACTCAGGCCCACTACTGATCCCACATTGCTGAGGAGGCTTTAGAGACAGCCGCAGGCCCTATCCCCTCTTTCCCTGCCTCCCCACCGCAGGGCCCTAGGCCCACCCGCCAGCTCCTTTCCCCTCCCCGGGCCTGGTCCCCTGGAGGCTGAGAGCGTGTGTGACCCCAGAGCCCCCAGTACTGTCATTAGCGCTGATTACTCCCATCAGCACCCCAGGGTGGGGGCGGCAGCTCTGGCAGAATTGTGTCAGGAGTGCCAGGTATCCCTGCTCCACGCTGGCTGTGGGCAGCCACCGAGAGGGGCCGCTGGGAGGCGGGACAGGCAAGGTGGTGCTTCTCCAAGACCCGAGGCCTCCAGGCAGTCTCCTTTCACCCCACCTCCATCAGCCTCGGAGGGGCCCTCCCCTCTCAGGACTCCTCCACCCTTACCCCCTGACCCATTCCATCTCCTTCCCCCGCCTGGGAGTCAGGAAACCAAGCTCTGCCCTCTAATCCTGCCCCTGCCTCAGTGGGCCGCGGGACCCCGGGTACATGGCTTCTCCTCTCCAGGCCCGGTTCCTCCTCTTTTAAATGAGGGGTGCCATTTCTTGATTCCCTTCCAGCTGCAATCAGCCAGCCAACCCTCCTCCCTTGCGGTCCCCTGGGCTAAGTGCCCACCTGCCTGCCTCCTCTCCTCCCTCCTCCCTCCTCTCCTCCTTCTCCCCTCTCTCCTCCCAGTCCTTCTCCCATCTCTTCCTCTCCCTCTTCTCTCTTCTCTCCCTCCTCCTCACTGTCTTCTCCTTGTTCTCTAGTCCCTCACTCCTCTCCTCTCCTGCCCCCACCCCAGGAGCTTCCTCTCTCCCTGTCAATTAGACTGGCTCTGGCAGGAGGCTCAGAGAGCAGGCTAGGGCACCCAGCTGGAAAATTGGGTGTCCAGAGCTGTCTGGAATCCTAATGCCCTAGCCCTGCCCTTCTCCACCTCCCTCACCTCTCCTCGAGTGACAGGTGCTGGGTGCTGGCATTGACTCCTCCAGTGGGGGCACCCTCCCACTGCTCTCATCCTGCCAGGCCTGCAGCCTCCTCTCACTGCCCCAAAACTCCTCTCACTCTGCCCCTTCCCCATGCTCCAGCGTCCCCCCCACCCTCTCGACTTCTGACCATCCCAAAGTTCAAGGCTTGGAGAAAAGAGCACTGGGCTGGGACTCGAGACCTGCGTGCTGGCCAGGCCCCCTTTCAAGGCCTCAGTTTACCTGTGAAGTGAGGCTCCACCTCCGAGCCCTTCCCGCTCAGACTGTGTGGCCCCCAGACCTGTCAGCTTTCCAGCCAACACAGAGGGCTGCCGCGGGGTCACTCCTGACCTGCTCTGGTGGCGGCCCCATTTCAAATCTTATTTTATTTTCACTGGGAATGGCTCTGGGCCAGGGCATTAGCATTCCAGTTTCTAGCAGATTCTCTCCTTCCTGTTCTGTTGCAGGAGCTGCCTCACTCATCTTTGCGCCTGCCTGGCCCCCGAGTAGACTGGGCTGCCCAACTCGGAGCTGGCAGCCACCCAGGACTCGTGGGCATTCAGGTAACCTACGTCCTGGCCACCAGCACCACCTGGCCTCATCCCAGGTAGCCCAAGAAGGTGCCTCTCTGGAAGTGAAAGGTACACGCTCCTCACTCCCAGACCCCATGCCCTACCCTATGGGTGCCATAAGTCCGCAAGGTTCAAGGACGCCGATGGTTCACCCAACTCAATCGTTTTCTTTCGTTATTATTAATTACTTTTTACTCTTCACCCAGGTACTAAGGTAACCCCAACAAGCAGCCTTCGTGTCCTCTACCAAGCACACCTCCCCAGAGGGTGGAGCCTGTGCAGAATCCCAGAGGTGACTCCAGCAGCCTTTGGGGAACCGTCACTATCAATCAGGCACCTGCTGTGTGTCAGGCACATGCTGGGACTCTGGGGACACAGCAGGGGACCCCACCAGCAAGTCCTCTTGTCTCACATTCTGCAAACAAAATAGAAAAATAGCTCATTTCAGAGTGGCCAGTGTCATGAAGGAAAGAAAACAGAGTGAGGGGATGCTGACCCAGGGTAAGGCCATATAGGAGGGCTCAGGGAAGACACCACAGGGGAGGTGACCCTGAGATGCGCCCAAAATGATAAGAAGCTGGCGTGGCAAAGTTGGGGTATATATACCATTCTAGATGGAGGCGGCGGTAAGTGCAAAGGCCCTGAGGCTGGAACACGTGTGGTTGTTTGAGCAACATGTGGCCAGTGTGGCTGGGGCAGGAAAGTGGCAGGGGAGGCTGTCACACCCAGATCACATCCTGCCTGGATGGGCACTCCTGGAAGGAGTTTGTGATGCATTCTAAATGCAAGAAGTAGCCACTGGAGGCTTTGTGGGAGAAATGCACTCTGATGTTCGTTTTTAACGATCTTGCTACTTCTGGCTGCTGGGCACAGGTCGGGGTGGAGGATGGCCAGAGCTGAAGCAGGCAGGCCAGTTAAGAGGATGCTACAGTGATTCAGGCAAGGGGCAAAATGGCTGCATAGAAAGGCAGAGAAGTGGCTCTGGCCTACACAGAGACCACAGGAAGGGGTCTACTCAATGTGTCCTGCCCATGACAGCAGTAAGCCCCTTCCCAGAACCCTCTCCCATGTTCTCACCTCCCCTGCCCCCAGCTGCGTACCTTGGTTCCTTTTGATTCCTTCTCTCCACCAAAGTCCTTCCTCCTCTTGCATCCAGTCGTCAGCACGGGTCGTGAGTCCCCAGCTCTATCTGGTTCTGCGGCTGACCCAGTGGGGAATTAGGTCCTCAGGGAAAGGGGAGCGGAGGAGCAGAGTCCCTCATGGGGTCTAGTCCAATCGAGTTACTTTTATAAAAGACAGCCAGACCATTCACGCTGCAAAGATTCACCTCCGGCTGTTTTTCAGCCTGTAGCTTATTGTGCTAAGAGTGTCTGTTCCCTTCTCAGCCTTGAGTCGCTTTACAAAAGCCACCCTTCTATTACCTAGGCCTGGGTGATGCTAGGGTCCAGGACAGCATGGAGCGTTGTAAGCGAAGGAAAAGGCAAGAAGCCGCACAGCGGGAAAAGAGATTTGCAACAGGACTCTTAATTACAAATCAATGAGAGAAACGGAGATAACCTCATGGAAAAATGGACCAATGGCCCGAATAGGCATTTCACAAAAGAGGACAATCAAATGGCCCATAAAGTTATGAAAAAGTGCTCAGCTTCATCATCAGGGAAATGCGAATTAAAATCACAGTGATTAGCAATTTACACACCCACCAGAGGGACTAAAGCGCAAAAGCTACAACCCAGCCAGGCTTGGCCAGGAGGCAGCAGCCCAGGCGGAACTTTCATCTCTGGTGGATGGCAGCGTAAACCCGTGCAAGCACTTTGGGAACTCGAATGGTATCTAGGAAAGAGGAACACACATTTGCCCTATGACTGAGCGATTCATTCCTAGGTTTACACTCAACAGGAGTGAGTACATATGCCCAAGAAAAGACGTGTGAAAGAATGCTCATACCAGCTTTCTTCATCATCTTGCCAAACGGGAAACGACCCAAATGTCCATCAACGGTTGAATGCATAAATCCATTGTGGTGTATTTCACAGCAATGAAAATGATCCAACCGCTGCTCCGATCCACATGAATGAATCATGACACGTTGCTGAGGGAAAGACGCCAGTCTCAAGCGAGGACGTCGGGCAGAATTCGGTTCATGTGGAGCCCAAAGCAGGTTGGAAGTCAGGACAGCAGTTCCCCTCGCAGCCCTCGAGGGAGAGGCTGGCAGGACTGCAAAGGGCCTCATGGAGCAGTGGCCATGTTCTTCATCTTCATCAGGAGGCCATGCCATGGGTGTGTTCACTTTGTGAAATATCTATTGTTTTGATAGGCATGCTTTCTGTGTGTGTGTGTATACACGTATATATTCACTTCAGTTATAATTAACTTCACAAATAATAAAACACTGCAGAAGGTATTTAGAGTAAAAGGAATGACCACTCCCTACCCCACATGACTTAGGTATGTGACCTTCCATACCTTTTTCTATGCGATTCTATGGCTTAGTTGGGTGTGTAAAAAGAAAAAAAGAAACACACACACACACAACCCCATCCGCAGTAACAACCCCAGACATTGCCAAATGTCCCCTGGGGGTAGGGTTGCCAGAGTAAATACAGGACGTACAAATGAGATCCTACCATATCTTATGGGGTTCTTATGGGGTTTTTGCTATCTTTCATTTAATACAGGGGTTCTCACCCTTGTTACAACTGACATTTTAGGCTGGATAATTTTTTTTTTTTTTTTTGGCCTCAGCTGTCCTATGCATTGTGAAATGTTTAAAAGCACCCCCGGTGCCTTCCCACCAGATGCTGGTAGCACCTAACCATCCCCAGTGACAACCAAAACTGCCTCCAGACATTGCCAAATGTCCCCTGGGGGTAAGGTTGCCACAGTAAATACAGGACATCTAGTTAACATGCACGGTCTGAAATTCAGCTTGAACTGGCTGCCCTGCATTTTTATTTCCTTAACCTGGCAACCTACCTAGGGAGCAAAATTACCCCTGGTTGAGAACAGATGACATCTCTCGTCGCTGGTTCCTTTTCAGGACGGGAGGATACCCCCTCTTTCTTTTCGGCGCTCTGCTGTGTTCCATGATGGGGACAAGCCATAGCCTGTCAGTCTGTCCCTTGGGATGGACCAGGTGCTTGCTAGCCAGTGGGAGGTTTTCTGCCGCAAGTGACAGAAATCCCTGCTCAGTCTCACGTGGGCCACAAGCCCATCCACAGTGCTGCCTGGCAGGGAGCAGGGTGAGCACTGGCCGTTTGCCTGTTCTGCTCTTCCCCACCTCGAGTCAGCCTCATAGGTCGGCCTCAGCATCCAGGCTGGCCGGGCCCGAGGCCACCTGCGGGCCCTCCCTGATGTCTCATTGGCTGAGACTGGTCACAGCCCACACCTGACCTGTCACTGGCAGAGGGTGCGCTCGCCCTGAGACCCATCAGGAGCACCTGCCGTGGTGGCGAGGTGGAGGTGGTGCTGGCGTCCTAGGCTTCCTCTCATTGTCAAGTCCCTTCTCAGACCTCACCTCTGCAGCGGGGCCATCCCTGAGCACCCATCGATTGTGGCCTTGTCTCCCCACCCAAAGGGCTCCCTTCCCAAGTGTTGCCAGGAGCCCCAGCAGACATCTTCTACACTCAAGTATCAGCTCCTGGAGGGCCCAACTCCTGGTGACTGCTGTGGTCTCAGGCCTTCTGAGTGCAGTCCGTGGCCGGGGGAGCCTCTCCACTCACACCGAGTGAACTCAGCAAGAGAGGTTGCCTTTGTGCTCCGCAGAGTGCAGTCCAGTCCCATATCCACAGCCATGAAACCCAAATGCTCCCAGAACCATACGTCTTTTCTTCTACCTATTTGCCAGCAAACCTGACCCAAATTGACGTGAGAGTGTTCAGCGTCTTTTGTTTCTCCCACTTGCTGTGATATGTGTGCAGCTTGCTGAAGAAATAATGTGTTTCATCAGGGGGTTGTCTTGGGCTGAGTTCCCCAAAAGCAAAGCCTGAGACAGGACTTGAGTGCAGGTGTTTTTTTGGAAGGTGACACCAGAATCCAGGAGGGAGCAACCGGGGAGAGTGAGACGGGGGTTGGGAGAAGATAATACAAGGGTCGTTACGGAGGTCACTGCAGAGGGCACTGCAGGAGGGGGCGGTCAACTTCTCTAGGACCTCCTGAGCAATGTGGGGTGCTTCTCTGAAGGACTAGAGGCTGCTGGGCGCTTACCCACCTGCCCCTGGGCTCTACCAGCTGAGGGTTACCCGAAGGGCCTTCACTCCCCAGAATTCCCCAGTTGCACTTGAGGTGGGCTGAACACCCCAGAGGGTCTACAGCATGGGGCAGCCCCAGACCCCGGGGAAGAGTAACACAGGATGGGGCATATGCGCCAAGTTACCTTCCGAAAATCTGAAACATGTTTGACCCCAAGGGATTCAGGGTCCTAGAGGTGGAATTTCAGGGTTAGAGGGGGCACCTTGGGGGGAGTCTTGTATGTAGTTTGAAAGTTTTGAAACATCAAGAGCCCTCTGAAATGGCTGTCTACGTTTCACACTCCTGGCCAGGCGTGAACGTCTTTCCTCTACACCTGCGCACCCACCTCAGGTACGTCAGCTAAATAGTAATAGTCACGGCAGACACTTATGTGTGCTCTGCATGGGGCACTGTTCTAAACACTGATCCCTCACAATGACTCTGTGGGGTAGTACTGGGTTTGACACTCATTTTTTAGGTGAGGAAACTGAGGCACAGAGGATTACACACTTTGTCCACGTTCCCACAGCTGGTAAGTCCAGAGCAGGAGGGATGTGAACCACAGCACTACACTGTCTCTAACAATATCATCGTCTTTTTAGGTTTCTGCCAATCTCATGAGTGAAAAGTGATCAGGAGTTTGGAAAGTTCATTGTCTTGTTTTGTATTTCTCTGTTGTTATCAGCGAGGAATAGGCAGAGGAACAAATAACAGAGACTCCAGCCAGACATTTATTGCTTAAGTAAAATCAGGAGGACGGCAGTCTAGAGCTGGCATGTCAGCTCTACTCCATGGTTTTGGTCACGCAGACCCCTCCTCTTGTTACTTTGCTATGTGGGATCTCTGTCCCCAAGGTCTCCTCACTGCCCCATAAGGGCTGCTGGAGCCCCAACCATTATGTCTCGTATTCCAGCCACAAGAAAAAGATAAAGAAAAAGGAAATAAGGAACACCTGTCAGCTGCCTTTTTAGGACGGTTCCTGGAATCTGCTACTTCTCATTGACCAGAACTTGAGTACGGGGCCTCACGCTAGACGGGAGGTTGGGGAATGTCTTAATAATAGACCACATGCCTGGCTGAAAATGAAGGGTTTTGCTCCTGTGGAAGAAGGGAAGGTGGATACTGGAGAACAGCTTGTGATCTCTGCCACAACAGAGGAGTATCTTTGCATAGGTTTCTTCGCCATTTTTATGGCTTCATCTAAGAATTCTCTTTTCCTACTCTCCTTTTCCTCTCACACTGATCATCCTTTTCTTACTGATTTTTAGCCACACTTCTTATGGGGAACTCACTACACTTCCCAAAACCATCTGTAGCAGTGCTTGGCTCTAAGAATTTGTGTCAAAATCAAATGGGAGCCACAGGGATGGGCCCAGCTCAACACGTGGCTCACGTTAAATGCCTCACAAATGTTGGCTTCCTTCCCTTGAGTCAGGCATTGCAAAAATGTTGCGGTGCCCTAGAACCCCCTAGAGTGCTAACAACTTGGAGCCCAGGCTTATTGAAAGACAGGGCCTGGGCCCTTCTGTTTTTACCAACTTCCCTGGGTGAGAATGATACCCACTGAAGTCTGAATTTGCCCTCAATTGTTGACAAACTCTGTACTGTCATCGACTTCCTCTTGGTCAGCAGCACGAGCGTGGCCACCCCCTCCACACATCACCCTGCACGCATCTGAAGCCGAAGTGAAGTCCCACAGCCAACCTTCTCTTTGCCAGGAGAAAAAGCCCCATTTTCTCACTCATCCCTTGCGTGGCAGGGATTCCCAACCCTTCTAATTGCTATCATTCTCAGCAGGTGGACCTGGCGGGTCAACCTCCCTCCTGGCATATTCACCCTGGACTGACCATAGCCTCTCCAGGTGGAGTCTGGCCAGTACGGGAGAGCACAGAACCCTCACCTCCCCCAGGCCAGACCCCGTGATCCTATTCACATGGCCCACGGCTGCATCGGCCCTAGAAACAGCTTTGTCACTCCGTGAACCTACAGTAAGTTCAAATCCCCCCCAGTCTCCAGGAAGTAGGAGTTCCGTGTTGATGGTTACATCTGCACATGCTACAAGTGGCACAAAACCTTTACTCAAGTGAGTTCAAGCAAGAGACATCAGTTCACATGAGAAGGCAGAGGCACGCAGGTCCAGGTCCGCCGGGGCGAGCCTCGGTCCACCGTTTCTTCGAATACAGGATTTGTTCTCTTTCCACTTGGACATCTCAATGTTTCACAGAGAGGGCCCTAGTGTTTCCTAAACTGCAGAGTTTCAGGCATCTGCATCCCGATTAGATACAACCGATTCTAAAGGAGGATCATTCTTCTCGTCCCATTTCCTCTTCCTGGTTGGAACTGGGTCCCGTGGCCATTCCTAAGCCAATCACTGGCAGGGGGAGTGGGACTACCATTTCTGGCAGGTGCCAAGGTCCAGAGGCATGAGTCGGTGATGGGCCTTCTCAGCATGGCTGGAAGAGCCTGTGAGATTATCTAACAGATGAGGGGCACAGCCAGATGTGGGCCCACTGGCTGCTATCATCCCCCAAGTGAAGGGTGGTGTGGCTTGCACCCCAAGGGGAATGGGTACATGGAGAGGAGCAGCCAGATTGAGATGAGTTGTCAAGATCAAGTCAGTATGAGATGAGGGGAAGGTGGAGACTAGCTCCAAAAAAACGGCCCATCATGTTGGCTTGAGTGGCAGGGGACTGCCACTTACATAGGAAGCAGGAGGACTGGGGGCCGCTGGGCTATCTGAGATGGACGTGGGGCTGGAAGTCACCAACATATATCCATATGTTGGTATTGGAAGCCCTGGGGCTTGGGGGAGTGCACTAAGTAGGGAATCAGTGAGTCGACACTTTAGCACCTCCGTGACTGTCTCCAGCTGTGGCAGGAATCCAAGAGAGAGATGGAGACCTGGATTAAGGCCACCCGGCAGGGAATTGAAAATATAATTTGTAAAACGCAATCATCTGGTCCAAATGAGGAAGGGAAGGAGAGTAACCAAGTTTGGATCTCAGAAAGACTCAGATGGTGTGAGGTCGCTGTCACTGACCCTCAGCACAAGGGGCTCGGCTTTGCCCTCACTGGCCTGGTCCTTCTTGGGAGCCTTCCCCTGGCCTCCCTGGCCAGGCCCCTGCCACTCCCCTCTTCCTTTACCCCACTCGGAGGTTCTCCTGGCTCTCTCCTTCCTGGCTCTCGGCCCTCTATGGGGTCTATTTCTTTTGACCAAAGCATCTGCTTCCATTGCTGTATCTGCAACACTGTCGCAGCCTCCTTCATTCAGCCAACATTCTCGAGCGGCCCCTACCTGGGCCAGGCCACGGTATGAACGCTCCTCAGCTCTCAAGGCTTCCGTGCCTCGATACAGCTACGTGAAGCAGGAGTAGCTCAATCCATTTCACAGAGGTGGAAATTGAGGCTCTGGAGTTCGGAGGAGCACTCCAAGGCCCAGTACTGCCTGACCACCATGGGGCAGGGCAGACGAGCCCCAGACTTGGAGCCTACCCTAAGAAGTTTCTCGGCTTTGCTCAGGAAAGAATTCAAGTGTGAGCTGGTGGTGGAAGAAACAGCTTTACAGAGGTGATAGTGTTACAGCTCTGTGATTGCCCCTGCAGAGCAGGGCTACCCCACGGGCAGTGTGCTGACAGCAGCAGCTCAGGAGGAGTTCTGCAGTCATGTTTATACCCACTTTTCATCACATGCAAATTAAGGGGCAGGTTATTTAGAAATTTCTAGAAAAGGAGCTGTAACTTCCAGGTCATTGCCATGGAAAGGGGCAGTAACTTCCGGGTATTGCTATAGACAAAGGTAAAACTCATGGTGCTGGTGGTGGGCATGACTTCTGGAGAGAGGTGCTTTCAGGGCCTCTTCCTGTTTTAGCCACTCTTCAATCTGGTCTAGAGTTGAGTCTCCGTCTCCCACCTCAACCACACTCCCTGGTGGTCAGTCCAGCCCTAAGTTCATAGTCTGGCCTGGGGTGTCTCATCATGCATTTATGGGTGTAGAGGCAGCCAGGCCTGGGATGGGGACATGAGCTCCTGGAGTCAGGGAGAGTGGGCAGCCAGCCCTTGCCTGCGTTAATCAGCATTTGTTGGGCCTCAGTTCCCTGGTCCATACACGGAGGGTAAAAGTAAGTACCTTTTCCTCATTGGAGTACAACAGAACTCAAACGGCCTCATGCCTACCTCATGGCTCTCTTGTGAGGTGGCACTGGAAGCTCTGTGTGTGAGCACAGTGCGGACACACAGTGGGTGACTCGTCCCTCAGTGAAGTCCTCCAGTTAAGAGCCGTGGACCACGTACCTCTGTACACCCCACGCCACCCCTGCTTAGCAACCTCCATCCGGCTGGCACAGGGACAGCTCAGGGTGAGACTGAGGGGAGTCGATGATCAGCTGTCAACAGGGAGTCAGTGGGGAGACTTCCACTCTCAGGTCCTAAAGTCAGAAAGCTCCTTAGACCGAAAGCAGCTGGGAAAGCAGGGGCCAAAGACAGGAAATGGGAGCTGCAGAAACTGAAATATCAGACACAAAACAGGAGGCAAGAGCAGCTCTGGCCATGAGGCAACAAAGCAGAACAAAGAAGAGGCTCGTACAAGGCAGAACAAAAATGGAGATGAAGAACCAAGATGGCCCAGAAGCCTCACTGCAGTGGGCAGAGTGAAGCGCGGCGCTCCCCTCTAGTGCTATGTGATGGGTGGACTGTGCCCTCTGGAATGGGGTTTACAGCAGGGACTGAGCCACTCGAGGCTCCACTGTCTCCTAGGGTTACTTCCCGCCTTTAACCCTCACCTGAACCATGTCAAAGGACCGTTATAAACAGCTAAGGGACAGCCACATCCCGGCAGCTCCCCAGAGACAGAGGTGCTGTCTCCTTTAGGCTTTCCCACCACAGGTGCCAGCCAGGGCTGGTGCCTCACATGGCATGTAGAAGAAGACTTGTGAGTTGACCCTCAGAGCAAGAAACTAGGAAAAGCAATGGGGCCATGAGATGCTGCTGAGCAGCAGTAAAGAGAAAAATATGCTTTTTACTTAGCTGGAAAGGGCAAAAGGAAGACACTCCAAATGTAAAGTGACTTTCTGAGCCCCCCTCCTCCCTACCCCCTTATCCTGCCCTCCATGAGTTGCCAGTTCCATCCCACCTTCCTCCCACCCCCAGGAGAAGTTCCTGCCAGCCCCACTCAACTCCTGGGCCCAAGTGACGCCATCTCCCCTTCCACCTCCCCAGTCCCCGCAGGGTCGTTCCCTCCTCTGTGAGCAGCCTTCCAAGCCCACCCTGCTCCTGCCCAGACACAAAACAGCAAAACCACTTCCTCTCCCTTTTCCTCCATGTATAGCCTTTTCCTCCAAACAGTGGGCCCATCCCACACCATCTGACTTCTACCCCCAGGCCCCATTAACTCAGAGCCCAGGCCTATCCCTAGTATTTCCTAGGCCTGGGCGTGAGTACAAAGGGAAGCCCAAATCCTGTGTGTCTAAATACTGAAAAGTTCTCCATTCAGCTAACAAACTGTTAGAATATCCTCCTGCCTTGACAAATGTACCTTCACGATGACCTCTAACAGGTTTGAATTTCAAATTCCTGGCCTCCCTAAATGTGGTGGCCTATGGAAAGTCAAGCCCCATTCTCCGGCCCATAGGACACCCTCTTCTCGCCCACAGCACTATCTCACAACTTAAAGGGTCTCACAGGCATGCATAGAGACTGCCACCCCACGCATTCAAGCCCTGCCTACACCTCCCACACGCAGCTACTCCTTGGTCATCTCTCATGCCTAGGAGTGCCCACATGGGTGGCACGGTCCACCCTGGGAAGGACAGGCCTTGGAAACATGTCCGGGGCCAACTGGACAGTCAATCCTGGCATCCCAGGTGCTTGGAGCATGGTCAAGTGGAAAGTGTCTGGGAATGCCCGTGGGCCCTGCAGACTCATCAGCCCGTGGGGAAGAGCAGGGGGCTAGGAGAGGGTCAGAGCAGACCCTTCTCACATATATGCCCTGTGGCAGGGACCCCCTTAATCCTGGTGCCACCTGCCTCCTCCTCCCCCCGTCTCTGGGTTATAATCTAAATAACTGCCAGACGTAACCTCTTCTTCCCTGATCATGCTTCCTATGACCACAGGAAGGCTCTCCCCGTTTCCAACCCTTATTTTGGGGGGCTCATTCTTCCCATCTTTAAAGGAAAGATTTGGAGCAGACATCTCAGCAGGAACCAGAATTTTAGCAACAAGACACGAGATGCAGGGGTTGACAGGGCCGGCACAGGCCCCAGGATTATTGTACAGGTGGCATCTCTCGACACTCCACTGGCCTAAGGTTGGGACGTTGGGCCATGCCCGATCTGGGACTCGGGTCTTTGGGCCCTGACCTCCAGGGGAACAGGCAAAGTTTGGGAGTAAAGTGGGTTAGAGCTCCTTCCAGCTCTTCTGGGTATGCTGTGCTTGCTTGGGCCAATTACTGTCTCTGAGTCTTTCCCCCAAAGTGTAGAGCAGGGGTAAAGCCCCTACTTCATGGAGCTGCCGAGGAAATAAACACACCCTGGTCCACACACCAGATGTGAGGCATCAGCCCAACCCTGCCAAACCCTCTTAAAGCTGCAGGACAGATGTTTGGGCTCTACAGATCAGATGCTCTTCTGAGAGCCTTGGAAGGAAGCAGTGAGGCAGAGAGATGCTTCTACCGCCATCGTCCCTGCCCTAGAATGAGAGTCCACAGCCCATTGCCAGCACCCAAGGGGTACCCCTGCAGCTGCTGTGATCCTGGCAACAGCAGCCCAGGGCCCCCCGAGGTACCGATTCATTCCCTCAGCAGCCCCATGAAGCAGAAACAGGTGGCAGCTCCCTTGGTGGGTCAGTCCTGCGTAGTTATTTTAAAAGTCAGTTTGAAAAGGCTACCCCTGAGTCTGGTCTGCAGCCCTCCTGACAATTCCATCCACCACTTGGTTTCCTCTTGTGAATTTTTTTTTCCTGCTTAAATTAGTTACAGAGAATTCTGTTCTCTGCAATAGAAACCGGACTGAAGTCTATAAATTCACAGCCATGGTGCTTAACATATGGGGATTGAGCCATACAATTTGTTTGAAAAGTAAGTGAGAAGAGAGAGGGGCAGATGAGTGAGTTTTCTCCCCCTAGACCATTGCAGATTCTGGGAGTTATCTAAATCAGGGGAGGCGAGAGTTGCTGGAGGAGTTTCACCCCCCTGGGAACTCCTTCACACGTGACCTTGCTTAGTTTGGCAAGGACGGGGAGGACGGAAGATGCGCGGTCTGAGATGCAGGTGAGGGCAGTTTTAGAGGAGGCCAACAGAGAGAGGGGGATTTGGGGTGGGGACTGGGTAAGAATGGGTGTCGTGGGCTTGGCGCTGACAGCAGGCTGGGGCCCTAGGCCTAGGGAAGGAGAAGGGGCTGCCAGCATATGCCGGAGAGGCAGCCCGGGCCTCAACTGGAGGTTGGGCCCTAGGAGTCTAGCCGTGAAACCCTCCAGGCAGGAGTGGTGGGGAAAGCAGAAAAGCCCTAGCTTCCTGACATGTCCCCACATGCCTGAGGGAGGGGGCAATGGCTGAGCTCCCAGAACGGCAGGGCCGAGAGCAGCCTGGACAACAAGGAGCAGAGGGTGACCCACAGGTGCAGGGTTGGGAAGACAGTGACAGCGGGAGGCCAGAACCGTCACCTCCAATGCACACCTAGCATCAGGTCTCCTTCCTTGCAGACAAAGGGCCTTGGGAAGGAGGCTCATGGGGCCAACCAGTTCCCCATGTGGGAGTCCTCAGATGCAGAGACCAGGAAGCTGCAGATGGGACCTGCAATCCAGGGGAATTGGGGTAAAGTGAGACCAAGAGCAGAACTCAGAATTGGATTCCCCAGCCCCACAGTCTGGGAAGAATATGAAGAAAACACCTGAGCCAGCAGGGATCACCTAAGCCTCCCTTGGCCAAGGACTAGACAGTAAAGGCTTTCCTGGAAAAAGGGGCTTGCAGACCCTAACCTCACAACACCAATAGGATGGAAGCCTCGGGGAGGCCAGGGTGGTGGCGGCAGCAAGGGAGGATTGCCTGGGATTCAGGGCCAGGCACAGGGCCACGGGGCAGCCTCAGGGATGAGGGGCTCCGGAAGAAGCACAAGGGCTGCCAGGAAAGAGCCGGGGGTGCAGAGCAAGAGAGAGACTGGCCTGGCCACAGCCCCACTGGGACAGCTGCACTGGGCCTGTGTGAGGGCACTCAGAGGGGACAGGGGCCAGCTGGGGCCCAGGCAGGAAAACAGTGAGGGGCCAAGCCCTGGGTCATCCCAGAGGGTCCCCACAGTTCAGCCAACTCCCATGGAGGCAGGAAGGGAGCAGGAAACCCCATGGGCCACCAGAGCCAGCAGGACACAGCTCCTGTAGACACAGGCCAGGGATGAGTGCCACGCTGTGACACCAGTCACAGGGAATAGCTTAGGACAAGGGAGTTCATTTAAAGCAAGCCATAACAATCCAGGCCAAATCCAGGGGCCTTCCTGGAAGAGGGGTTGGTAGCAGTTGGAGAACAGGAGTCTGAGAAAAGGGCAGGTGGGCTCTGCCTCTGGGAAGCAAGGAGGCTGGGGCTGGGCGGTGGGCCCCAGGCTGCCCCCGAACAAAGGCTTGGGCAGTTCAGCCTGAGGTCACTGGATGCTGACCTGAGTGCCTCAGCCTGACCAGAGAGACAAGGTACCTCCTAAATCTGAGAAGGAGCAGGAATGCTTCCGGGCTGTGACAAAAATGAACAGCAGATGGTGGGAGGGCACCAGAGGAGCAGGTGGGGCAGGGGTCCAGGACAGGCTGCCCAGGCTGAGCCCAGAGGAGAGAACCAGTGGGTCCCACAGTGACCCTGGACCCACCAATGACAGGAGCAGGAGGAGGCCAGCCTCTGAGACACTGGGCCTGGGGCTGAGTGCCTGGAACCCTGCCTTCAGAGACTAAATAAAGGAGACCCTGAGAACCAGTGAGATCCAGTGATCCCCCAAACCCTGCAGCCACAAGGGCTCATTTTAGGCTCACCTCTGGAAAACATTTATAGTTGTTGAGGCAGGGGGAGCTTGAGGGAGGGGAATATTCAGCTAAACAACTAAACAGAAAAGGAAGTTCCTGGCCCAGTAGCTACAAGGGTCACCAGAGTCACCTTGGAACTGTCAACTCCTTCAAACCAAGCCCCAGCAGAGACCAGGGAACTGTGCTGAGGACACCTAGCTTCCCTGGAGCCCTGCTGCGGGGAAGAACATCAAAGAAGCTAGAGAAGGAAGCCTGCCCGGGCTGGAGAGGGCCGGTGGTCGGTGAAGTTTGAGTTACAGATATCTTGGAAAAAAAGAAGGAAGGAAAAGGAGGAAGAACTTATATACCAGCAGTTTAGCCCTTGGGCGAGGCTTGAGAAGTGCACCCCACTTAGAGGGCATGACACAGAACGTGCCAAAGTGGGGTGCCCCTGGCAACTATGGTCCTGTTTGCAGCACCCAGGTCCTTGTCCCACCTGAAATATCCAGTTCCTGGGGCCCAGCCAGCAGAGAAGCCTGAACCCAACATTATCCACGAGGTACAGCCACACTTAGAGACATTCGTCCAACAGATGGAGGAACACCCCTTCACCCCAGAAAAAATAACACGTTTATGCCATGAAAGTTCACCTTTTTGTCATCTATATTTTGTGTCACGATATCTGAGCACGTGTAGCGTTTCAGGTATTTGCGAATGTCCTTGAGCACTTACGAATAAACTGATTATTTGCAAGTAAGGCATTAATTCAGAATTGGGGTTTTCTTTTAAGTAATGGCTCACATGTTAAGATGCAAGCACCGGTGAAAATGTGTGGGCTCACGGCGTTTGCTCGGTTTTCAAATAATTGAAGTGTGCAGAAAGGGAAGCAGATACGCGACACTTATGAAGCGGGGAGTAGCTAAGGACATTTCCCTAATTGCATTTGTAAACAGGACCAAAATTAGCCCAAAGCCCCAAAACATGCATGTTAAATGTGCTCTGTTTAGAAACAGAATCACTTCTGAGTTGAAATGAAAAGGCAAGGGTGTTTGCATTTGTAACATTAGGGAATAAAAGTGACTTTCTAAGCCTAAGAACTGTTGCCGGATCTCCACCCACCGGAGCAAAGCCATCCCGGAGGACACTTCCACACTCCCAGGGGCCACAGGGCTCCCCCAGCCCAAGGCCGGCAGAGGCAGCTGAGGGGAAGGGCCTGGACTTGGACTCTCGAGGTTCGTTGACCCCTTTGATCACCTCTTAAGTTTCCTGAGGAGTAGAATGAGTCCTTCAACAGAAACAGCTCCTGCTGATGAAGAAAACAGGGACCCAGTGCGACAGGCAGGCAGCTGAGCAGGGGCTCCTGGAGCCCAGGGTTGGGTCCGGGGACCATAGGGCAGCCCCAGCTGAGGGGCCTGAGGGGACAGAGCCTGTCAGGGCCCAGGCCCTACCTCTCTGCGCCTCCCACAAATGTGTCCCACCGTCCTCCTCCTCCTCCCTTGGTGCAGGCTCACAGTGAAACCTCCCTCACGAAGGAGGCCTGGGACTGGCAGGAAGCAGAGCAAAGGAGGGACCCTGGCTGGCTGTGGCCCCCTTGGGACGGCTGCACTGAGCCTGTGTGAGGGCACGTGGAAGGGACAGGCGTCCAGCTGGGGCTCAGGCAGTAGAAGGTGAGCGGCCCCAGGCCCTGGGCCATCCCAGAGGGTCCCCAGAGTACAACCAACTCTTAATGGAGGCAGGCAGGGGGGCAGGAAAGCCCTGTGGGCCACCAGAGCCACTAGGACACAGCTCCTGAAGACCTAGGGCTGGGCTGAAGGCCACAGGGTGATATCAGGGAATAGCTCAGACCCACAGAGTCCAGAATACCCCATAGCAATCCAGGCTGAATACAGGCTTTCGTGGAGGAGAGTTTCGTAGCAATTGGAGAACAAGAGTCTGGGAAAATGGTAGGTGGGCTCTGCCTCTGGGAAGCAAGGAGGCTGGGGCTAGCAGGTAGGCCCCAGACTGGCCCCGAGCAGAGGCTTGGGCGGTTCAGCCTGCAGTCCACTGGACGCTGACCTGAGTGCCTCAGCCTGACCAGAGAGACAAGGCATCTCCTAAATCTGAGAAGCAGCAGAAGCCCCGAAGGACCAGAGAGGATCGCTTCCCAGCCATGAAGAACCGCAGCAGATGGCGGGAGGGCACCAGAGGAGGGGTGGGCCAGGGGCCCAGGACAGGCTGCCCAGGCCAGGCGTGGAGGAGGCCCAGTGGGTCCCACAGAGACACTGGACCCACCATAGACAGGGGCAGCAAGAGGCTGACCTC
Organism: Homo sapiens; assembly: GCF_000001405.40. Lineage (NCBI taxonomy): Eukaryota > Metazoa > Chordata > Mammalia > Primates > Hominidae > Homo > Homo sapiens. The sequence continues at coordinate 37,367,523 of NC_000022.11, forward strand.
AGAGACCGTGGTCACTGATGGGGGGCTTTTCTCCCGGGAAGCAGCTGAAGTCTAGTAATGCCCCCACATGGCCCTGCCTCTCTGACAGGGCTCTGAATCCCGGGTGTGGGAGGCCAGGGCAGCAGAAAATCGAGTGACAGCACACAACAGAGGGATGTCTAGGCTTTTGGGAAGGGAGGTCATCAGGCCCCCAACCCATCAGACGGCGCAGTGTCTGGGTGCACACTGACCCTGGAATTGAGTTTCCTGCTGGCCCCCTCTCCCTCTCTCTGGCAGACCGCCTTCTTTTTTCCTTGACCGCAGGCAGTGACCCCCACCCTGTCCACTAAGCCTTAGCCCCATGACTGGGGCTCCCAGTGGGAAGGGAAATGGGGAAAAGGGCACCGAGCGTCATGGCAGTGCAATGTGGGAGGAATACAGCATAGACCATGGCCCCGTAGCTTTAAATAAGAAATTTATTGCAAATATAGAAATTGATTCTCTCCATACAGGAATCTCCGAGTTGAGGAAAACAATTTCGTGCCATTCAGTTTTAAAACAGGAAATTGAGGGAAGGGAGAGGCAGATACAGGGAAGAGAAAATAAAGTTAACCCCCACCCCCAAAAGAAGAAAAGGAGAGGGTTCAAGGCCCTCAGAGGAAGGAAAGTTTCGTAACACAGCAAGGGTTCACAGGTTCAGAGCCCAGGGCCTGAGCCCAGCTCTGCAGGACCCAAACCAGGTGCCCAACCACAGCCAACTTGGGGACTGGCGGCTCCTGAGGAAGGGAGGGAGGGAGGGAAGTGTGGCCGCCACTGCAGGAACTCCAAGCCCCTGTCCCAGCCCTGTGCTGGAGTGTGGAGTGGCAGAGGGGCAGAGGAAGGAGGAGCAGGCCCAGACCATCCTGCCCGTCCTACAGGACCCCCTTCCTCTCCCTCCTGCTCAGCAGGACTGCCTGACCTTTAGTGAGGCCTGAAGCCGCCTCTGGAGGCAAGCAGTATGGACCCTGGTTTTGTCTTAGAAGGGGCACCCAGGGTCAGGGAAGGAGTGTGTCAGGATGGAATCTGAGCATGAGAGTTAGAGGAGGTCCCCTCTCCTGGGGCTCAGCCACCTCTGGAGCAGCCACCTTGTCAGACAGGAGAGGTGGCAATGGGGCCAGCCAGGCAAGGCTGCCCTAACCTTCACACTGGCTTCCACGGGCAAAGTAAGCCCCTCAGGGCTGAGCTTCCCCAGGCTCCCCGACGGCTTGCCCCGCCCATCCACACTCATGGAAAGGGGGCTCTGCTGGGCCAGGAATGGGCAGGGGCAGGGTAGTAGGGGACAGAGGCGGTGCTTGGGGGACAGGCAGCCACTGCAACCCCACTCCCTCTAGTCTCGTCTTCACACCCACCCACCCACCCACCCTTCTGGCTCCTCTTGTCATTCACAGCTTGGCTCCCTGTCCCCCCATCCCACACAGGATGCTCCCTGACCAGCCTTGCCCCTCCCCCATCACCCTATTTTAATTTTCTGCAAGGCGCCAGTCACTAGGGAGCATTGTGTCTTATCCCTTCCCTGCACTTAGGCCCCTTATAAGCTAGGACCTGTCACTGGTGTCCTTAATTCCTGATGCCATCCCGGCCTCAGCACTGTCACAACCGAGTTTGTCAGCTCTAGGTCTCCTTTCCTCTCCTTTCCGTCTCTGCACTTCTGTTCACCCCGCTGTTACATTTCCAGGAGGGAGTGGGGCAGGCGACCAACTTCCAGTTGAGAACATGGGTGACTCTCGGCCAGCCTGATACTCCCCACTGCTGCTGCCCCAGCTGCCTCCCGGGGACGATCCAGGCCTGGCCTTCCCAAGCAGGTCTCTTTACTCCCACCCTCCTCGCTCCCCTGACAGCCCTTTTCCCAGACCTACCCAGACACGGGCTCCCCAGCCTGGACACAGGCTGCTCCCACAGGCCTCCTGCACTGCCTCAGGAGGGGAGCCCAGGTGAGGGATTCTTTGGTGGGCAGAGAGAGACTCTTCCTGCCGCGGGGAAAAGCAAGGCCGGGACCCGTGACGAGGTTTCCCCACCAACCAGGCTTTCTTGCCTTCATGCCAGACCTCTGTGTTTTGCTACTGGAAGGCCATAAGCTCCAACAGAGGGTTAGCTGCACCTGCTGTGCCCTCCCAGGAAGGAGCAGACCCATTGTGCTACTTCCCAGAAACAGCTTCAGAGGAGATTCTCCAACAGAGGCAGGCAAGCCCAGGTGTGACCTTGTTCCGGCCCAAGGCAGGAGGCCTCCCCGCAGAGGTCCAGGGCGTGGCACCCACACATCCCTCGCTCCACCGGGCCTCCATCTCCCCTCCCTCCCTGTGGCCCCCCCTGCCCTCTTTTCCTGGTGTCTGCCCTGCTGGCCTGCCCCAGACCACAGCCCAGCTCCACCATGCTCATCATCATCACAAACCCAGACCTTGGATGGCAACATTTTGTGAATACTTCCCTCCCGCCTGGGAAAAACTCATCCTGAGCAGGACGTGGGACACAGATGCAGGCCAGCCTCCGGGTGGGCTCTCCCCAAGCTGAGCAGTTGGGGCTCTGGCCTGGCTGGGAGGCCAGAGACCCGAGTCTTAGACCCCGCTCTGCCTCACAAAGAACCACATGAACTGGGTCTTCAAGGCCAGTTCCCCTCCTGGATCATCAGAGTCCTGCTCTTTGGAAGGGCCCCTGTCCCTGCAGTCAGAGAGTCTGAGGTTTCCTAAATATCTTCACGCAGAAAGGATGGGGAAATGGCAAGCGCAGGCCCCTAACTCCTGCTGCTGGGAACCCTCCCTGGGGCCCAGCCCAGGCGTGCTCCTTCTTCCCACGGGTTCCTTTCTCAAAGCCCCCACCCTCTCCCTGAAGCCCCCCACGAAGCCCCAAGCTCCTGGCCTCCTACACTCAGCAGTGTGACTGATCCTCCACCCCAGCTGGCCAGCCAATTCACCAGGCCCGTCTGGGAGCCCTGACTTCCTCATCTACAAAACGGGAACAAGCGGGACGGACAGACAGTCCCTTCCACCGGGACAAGAGCCCTTGAGGAGGCTTCCCTGGGGCTGCCCTCCCTGGCATGGAGGAGGGGAAGGAACTGGGGACAAGGGAGGTGGCAGTGGAGAGAGGGAGGGAGGAAGGGAGGTGGCACATGGGCCCAATGCTCAGAAACACAGGAGGTGGGTGTGGGGCAGGGCTGTGTCTTGGTGGCACCTGTTTTGGGTCTGTTTTTGCAGAGCTGACCCCTCCCTGGGTTTCAAGAGCTGCTCGTCAGATCACAACAGACAGAATGTGGGAAAGCAGGGCATCAGAGAGGGGGCGGGGGAGTCTGGACAAACTGGCACATACACGACAGATGTTTGCTCAGAAAAATACAGTAAAATCGTCATGCAAATATAACAGGGAGTCTGCTTCCTCACACCCCTGGCTTCTCTGCCTGCTTGCTTTTCTCAGTTGTGCCAAGGGGGTGTGAGGAGGGGTTGGGGGGCAGGTTTTGGGGGCCGGGGGAGGAGGTCTGCTCCGCGTATCCATGCCGCCCCCTCCCCTCCTCGCCCCAGGAGAACAGTCTTTTCTTTGCAAATGTCACCCTCAAAGTGAGCCCTGGGCTTCGTTAACCCCAAAGTTGGTGTGAGAGAGGTACTCAGCTGAGCCCGAGCCTCCTAGCCCTCTGCTGTCCTCCCTCACCCCCTGCCCCCAGCAGGAAGGTCGTTGGGGTCCCCAGGGGATGGCACTAGCTTTCCTGGTCAGAGCCCCTGCCCACCAACAGTGCCGGTCTTGGACCCATTCCAGTGCCTACCCTCGCCCCTCAGTCACACTCCCCAAATCTCAGGAAACCCATGTGGGCCACAGGCCCTAGACTGGGGGTCTCTGGCAGGGGCGTGGGGAGAGCCGGGGCCCCCCAAGCTGAGGTGGGTGGCAGCCAAGCGACATGTTGCTAGGCGGGCAAAGCTGCTAGTAGAGGCGTCCCCACACCCCGCTGGGCCAGCTCCCACCCAGAGGTGAAGGATGATGGACTCCGGCCCATCAGCATCCTGACTGGTCAAGACCCCAGTCTCAGGACCGCAGATTTGCCTCCCAAAAGAGCTGGCCCCAGGAGCTGCTGCCAGGCTGGCCCTCCCTCACCACCCTCTGCCACCGCCTACATGGACAGAGAACCCCAGAGCCCAACGGTCACTCTGGGCACCAACTGCCAGGCACAGGGTTACCATGGTGACAGAGGCTGGCTGGGAGGGGCTGGGGCGCCACGAACCCAGCCTGCTCCTCAACCCTCTCTCGGGTGGGGGCCTCACTGTTTGTGCTTTGTTTGATGTTGGGTGGGGGGGTCAGAAAGAGGGAAGTGGCCATTGCCACGGAAACATGGGAGCCCCTCTGGCCAGGGGGCCAGGCCTGGATGAGCAGCCCAGAGGGGATGGGTGAGAAAGCCCTCCTTCCCCGGGTGGGCGGCTGAGATAGGAGCCGAGATCCCACGATGGGGTCGGGCAGGTGGGGACACAGGCCATGGGGACAGGCAGGAAGTCCCCCATGACAGCTCCTCCCTGCAGCCCTCCAGGCATCACAGTGCACCGCTGCCCTTCTGCGGTGGGCAGGGGTCTCGGAGGACCAGAGAAGCTGGGGCCGGGAGCCTGCACCTGAGACGTCCTGGGAGCTGGCCTGCCCGCCACACGCCCCACTCTTCCCAGGCCACGTGGAAGACACTTGAAGTGGGCTGGTGGAATGTCGCCCTGCCTCGGCTCCTTTCCCGTCAACAGGACCCTCTCCCTTCTCCCGGGTGCCGGCATAGGGGTCAAAAGCCCCCCAGGATTCTGAATCACAGCTGCACACTCTGGGGGCACTGCCATGTGGCTTTCTAGGAAGAAAAAGCACCTGCCTGATTCCCAAGTCCCTCAGCCCCAAGGGACCACAGCTTCGGAAAGGGATGTGGGGTGGGCACAGGGCGGGCAGGGGTCCACAAGAGAGCTGCAGGGGGTTCCGGGACAGCACTGGGCTGGGAAGTTGGGGGACTTGAGGCTAAGCTGCTGTGTGACCCTGGGGTTGTCAACTCCCTTCTCTGGGCCTCAGTTTCCCCCCCTCTCTAAAGTGGAAGGAGACATTGCCCGATGTCTAATGCTAAATCTGCAGGTGACTTGACTCCCAGCTTGGGAAGGGACCCTCTCCCTGCCCTAGAGGGGCTTCAGTCCCTCTCTACTCCAGCTTTCTTGACCCCCACACCTGTTTCTAGCCCCAGACCCCCCAGACCCCACACCCTCTCTTGGCTTCCTTCCTCCCCCCGCCAGCCCCCCGGCCCTGCACACCCCAGCAGAGTCCCTGGGCAGCACAGTAAAGACGACTGGTTTCGGTATCAGTTTGTAAACTTTAAGGAAAATGTGTCTCTGTTTTCCTGTCCGTTATTGTCGGATGTTGGTTTGTTCACAGTCGGGTGGTGGTCAGGTGTGTGTGTGCGTGCGTGCGTGCGGGTCTGCATGTGCGTCCTCTCCTGGGCCTTGGCCCCCGAGTCTGCTCCCCGCCCTGGCCGCCTGGACCCTTCCCCCAAAAGGCCCCCAGCCCTCTGGCTCCGACCTCACCAGGGAGGAAGGGGGGGGTCACAGCTTCTGCTGGGCGGAGACCCCCTTCCAGTAATCAAGGATGTCATGCAGATCCTCGTCCTTGGCGAACTGGACCTTCTTGCGCAGGGCGTGACCGGCGGCCATGTACACCTCCTCCCGGTGGTGCTTCTTGTAGGGCCGGAAGCGCTCCCAGATCTTGTGCGTGCTCTCGGATGAGTACTCGGGGCTGGAGGAGTACCCTGAGTAGTAGTGTCTGGGGGAGAGCTGCGAGTAGGTGGAGTCACGCTTGGAGCGGGTCAGCGGCTTGAGGAAGGACACGCGCTGGCTCAGGCTGTCGGCACCCTCCTCGTAGTACAGGGCGGGAAAGCTGTGCCGGTGCTCGCTGCAGTGGTAGGCCGGCTTCACCTCCAGGTGGTGGATGCCCCCGCCCCCGCCGCTGCCCCCGCCGCTGCCCGCCGGCACCAGCGGGAGCCGGTCCAGCGGGCTGTTGAGGGGGCTGCCCTTCTCGATGTACTTGGAGTCGCCCTTAGCCAGCCCTGTGGCGGCCGGATGGTCGGGCACGTCCAGGCTAAAGACCTTGGCGCTCTTGATGGAACCACTGGACGACACGCTGCAGGTCTTGCGGGTCACGGCCGCGTCGGCGCTCAGCTGGCGCTGTAGTGGGTGGTGGGAGCTCTCCTTGTAGGGAGGCGAAAGGAAGCTGGGCCGCTCCAGGGCCCCGGGGCCAGTGGCTGAGGAGGCGGCAGCAGCTGCAGGGAGGGACTGGCACTCGAAGGCCAGCTCGGGGTCCCCACTGCTGCTGCCGCCTCCCAGAAAAGAGGCCGAGTCCAGCTTGAGAGCATCGATGCAGTTGTTAATGATCTGGTTGACCTTGTCCACCTCCTTGGCAATGGTGGAGATCTCTGCAGCCGAGCCCTGGCCGTTCTCGAGGTCCGGGAGGTCATCCTCGGGCCGAGCCAGACCGTCCCCGCCGGCGCCTGTGCGCACCTCGATATAGTTGCCTTTGGTGGCTACCTTGGGTGTGTCCAGCCCGGCCTCCAACCCCTTGGCGGTGGGCAGCTTCTCCCCGATCATGGAGGGGATGGAGGCCATGCGAGATACGGGCAGCACGGGAGGCTCGCCCAGCTTCTGGGCGGCGTGCACAATGGAGCCGGCATCCACATCAGCCCCGTAGCGCATCTCCAGGATGGTCTTCTTGACGTTGACAGACTTCTGCTTCTCCTCCTGCATGCGCCGCTTGCGCAGGCAGTAGTACACGGCTCCCAGCACGATAACCATGCCAAAGAGGCAGCCCAGGATGGTCATGATGTAGTGGGTGGTGGTGGAGGTGCTGGGCGCCAAGTCTCCGGGGACGGGGTCCCGCGTGGTGAAGGTCAGGCAGGTGTGGTTGAAGCGGCGGCTGTTGCGCAGCGAGGTCACGCAGAAGGTGTACTCAGTGTGCGCCCGCAGTTTGTCCAGCGTCACGATCTCCTTCTTGTTCTTGAGGGTCATGACGTCGGAGAAGTAGCTGTTGTTGTACTGCACGAGGATGTACATCTTGCTGTAGGGGTGTGGGATGATGACCACCAGGGTGGCCGAGGTGAACGTGACGTGGTGCAGCTTGATGGCTGGCCCTGCCGACGCATCCGTGGTGGACGAGGCCGGCGGCTCCACCGAAAGGATCTCGTCGGGGTTGAAGCCCGAGTTCTCGTCTGGCTCCCTCTGGGCGTCGGTGGAGTAGGGCGTGGGGTGGCTCACGGGCCGGGCGGGCAGCGAGCCATTCCGACACTTGGCCTGGAGTACGGTGATGGCGTTGAGGCTGTGGTAGGGCCGGGGCACCAGCAGCGGGTAGCCGGCAAACTCCCGCGGCGACTCACACTGCAGGCGGTCGTAGTTCTTGGTGACGTTGTTGAAGACCACCAGCCAGGCCAGGAAGCCGAAGAGGTCGCACTCACAGTTGAAGGGGTTGCCGGCCAGCTCACACACCATCAGGCTGGCGAGGCTGGCAAAGGTGGCACCGTCCAGGCGGCTGAGGCGGTTGGAGGACAGGTCGATGCTGATGAGGCTCGGGCACTCGGAGAAGGCGGTGGGCGTCACCACCTCGATGAGGTTGTGCTGGACAAAGAGGAACTGCAGGCGGCTCATGCCTCGCAGCATGCCCTCCGTCAGGTTGCTGAGCTTGTTGTAGCCCAGCTGCAGGACCTGCAGGCTCGACTGGCCCAGGAAGGCACCGTCCTCGATGTAGGAGATCTCGTTCTTGGTGAGGTTGAGGTCGGTGAGGTTCCCAAAGCGGTTGAGCGAGGAGTAGAGCACGGCTTTGAGCTTGTTCTCGTTGAGCCGCAGGTCGTGCACGGTGCTATTGATGTGCTGCGGGATGGTCTCGTAGGGCGGCTGGTTCTGGCTGCAGATGGCCAGCCACACGTAGCCCTTGTCGCCCTCAATGAGCCAGCAGTCGGCACGCACGGCACCCGGCCGGCACACGCACAGCAGCGCCGCCGCGCACAGCCCCAGGCGCAGCATGGCGCTGGCCTCGGAGTGAGGGGCCAGGGCAAGGCAGGGGGTGCCTAGCGGCCAGAGGCTGGGGCTGGCAGTACAGTCCTCCCTGGGGCCGCCACCATCTTGGGGGCGACCCCCAGCACGGGGGCCCCAGGCAAGGTGGGTACAGCTAGTGCCAACTGCTGGGGATCTTCTAGGGTGCTACAGCAGGCACTAGGCCTGGCTAGGGCTGGGGGTGGGGGCCCCACAGCCTGCTCCCCACCGCAGCGTTGCTCCTTGTCTCCTGCTAGGAAGGTGCAAGGGTTCTCAGGGCTTGACTTCCTCTCCCTCCTCCTCCTCCTCCTCCTCCTCCTCCTCCTCGTCTTCCTCCTTGGCTTCCGGGCTCAGAACTTCAGATGATTCCCACAGGAGGCTGGAGAGTGCCGCACTGAGCCAGGAGTGAGAGAGATGGGGGCAGGAAGGAAGAGACCCATCTGCACCTGGTTCCTGAAAGGCAGCATCGAGAGCGGGTGACAGATCAGTGTGAGGGCTCAGAGCAGCCCCGTCAAGCTCCAGCGCAGGCCCCCCATCCCTTCTCCACACCCCGTCCCAGGGCCTCTGTGCCAGCAAGCACTCTGGGGGTCCCTGTTACATCAAAGAAGCAGGGGGTTGGTGGGTGGCAAGAGGCAGGAGGGGGCCCAGGGGCTGGGACGGAGGGAGACAGAAGAATAGGGGGAGTAGGGGCAGAGACTGAGGATCATGGGCACAGAAGGGACACTGGAGAGAACAGGTGAGCACAGGTGCAGACACACACCCCCAGCACCCTGGAGGCCATGCTCATCCCCCTACCTGCACAGAGACCCACATGCCCCCACATGAGCCAGACCTCCATGGCATGCACACGCAGACAGCTACACACACACACACACAAGCACACCTACAATCTGCACACGACAAGCAGGCCCATACACACGTGTCCACGTACCCAAGCGGGCACCCCTGAATCCACAAAAAGAATTAAGAAGCCCAGCAAAATGCCTCCTTTCCTCCATGCCCAAAGATAAATAATTCATTTGTTGTGTAACTGCTCTTGTTCCAAAAATAATTCCCTTGTCTCAGCTTCCATGGGGGAGGGGGAGCAGAATATCGCAGCTGTGGGGCCCCCCAAGCAGAGGGACACAGAAGCCGGGGTCTCCCACAGTGGGAGGGCGTGGGGAGACCTCATCTCACAGGCAGAGCAGAGCCAAGGGAAAGAAAGGCCAGACTCTGGGAGGCCAGAGGTACCCCAGTATCATCTTCCCAAAGTGCCTTCCCTGGAGCACCTTGATCCTTGGGAGGGGGCCAGCCTTCTGGAGTAGCACGGCTGAGGCCCAGCTCCCCTTCCATGGCTGGAGAGTCAGAGGCCCAGAGAGGGACAGGGAGTTGCCCCAACTAACATAGCACAGCCTAGACCAGGATCAAGGTTCCTAAGGCACTGAGCCCAAGTCAGATGTCAGGAGGCCTGGAGCCCCACAACTGCTCAGCCCAATTAGCTAGGTAAACCACAACATCTTCTATTTCCACAGCTACAAAGTGGGTCCCTTTCTGGCCCACTTGATGGGGGAGAAGAAGCAGGGGACTCATGCCGCCCATTTGCAAGATGCAGAAGGGCAGGGGAGGCACCACGGGGGTCACAGCGGCAGACCATCTGCATCAACCCTCACTTTCCAAGTGGGGAAACTGAGCCACAGACTCAGGGGAGACTTGGCCAGGTTGCCCAGCAAGCTGGACACAGCCCCTTGGACAGACCTCAGCCCCAGCCCCCACCCTGTGCTCTCAACTATGGGAACAGCCCAGTTCTCCCTCCCTCTGCCCTGGGCAGGGGCCAGGGATGTGAAGATGAGGTCTGAGAAATCCACGTTTGGACACAGAAAGCCAGAGACTGTTCACAAGAGCCACCTCTGCCTCTCTCTCCTCCTCCTCCTCCTGGGAAAGTCCAGGAAAGAGAAGAGTGCTTAAAAAAAAATTTAAACCTTTGCCATTAAAGCAAAACCAATTTACAGCACTGAGCCCCAGAGGGCTGGAACAGAGGAAAGGGAAATGGGTGAGGGGTCGGGGGTTAATCCCACAAGAAGTCCGAGGTGGGGATGGTGATAGGTGAACAGGGAGTCCAGATGGCCCGCTGGACTAAAGGCTGATGCTACGTCAGAGGCCATCAGAGGCTGTGATGATCTGGACCTCTGAGGCCAGGCTCACACCTCCCCAGTCGCTACAGAACCAGCTTGGGGGCACCACAAGGCAGCCAGGCAGGAAGGGGTGCCCAGGCAGCAGACAGCAGCTCTGTCCTTGGCTGTGCTATGCAAAGGTCTCAGGGCTGCAGAGACCTTGGCCCCCGTCCAGCACGGCCACTGGCTCCTGGGGGATCCCAGGCCAGTTCTACCCCTCTCTGAGCCTCAGTTTCCCCTCCCACAGGTAGCAAGGTTGTACTGGAAGAGGCCGAGTCTCCATGCTTGCCACTTCAGAGATCCACGAGCCGGCCTGTCAGAGAACCCTCGTCTGCTCCAATGCAGTCCCTCTTCCTCATCGGGGAATGTCTGGGGACCGCATTTGTATGCAGGTGCACACACAGGTGGCTCAGAGTGCTGATGCAGGGGTGTGCTGACGTGTACAAGTCAAGGATGGGCGGGCAGGCGCGTGTGCACACGTCCTCTGCATCAGCTTCGGGGGCATGTGCTTGTGTGTGCAGGGGCAGGAAGGTATGTGTGTCGGGGACATCCCAGAGAATGCAAGCACCCATCTATGTTATAGTTGGCATGTTTAAGTACATGTGTGTTCTGTGTGTTCTACACGTGTGTGTGCCTACATGCAACTCCAGCCCCTATCCTCACATCTGAGTTGCTCAAACCAGCATCCCCACAGCCAGACCCAGGGTATTGGGCAAAGCCAAGCTGTCTGGAGCCTTGGGAAAGCCCAGGCCCTGCCAAAGGATGCGAAGAGGCTGAGCGTGGAGGGGCATGGGAGAAGAGGCCCATGTGGGAGGGGAGCTAGTCCCCCCACCAGCTCTTCCCAAACAGTCCAGGGTGGACAGAGGCCCGCCGTGCCCCAAGCCCAGCCACTCCAAGCTCTGCCCACCTGAACCTCAAGGTGACCTGCCTGTGGCCCTCTCTCCTCTTCCTCCTGGTCTCCAGGATGGCTTGGGCTGGGCCCAGCTCCGACCCACCCCCGTGACTCAGACGGAGTTGGGAGGAGGCTCCCATCGTGCTGTCCCAGGGGCGTCAGCTGCCCGGTCCCCATCCCGGGCTGCCTGCCTGCCACCCGTGGAGACCTGACGCGGCCAGGGAGGGAACAGAGAGGCCAAGGCAGAGAAGGCGCTGACAGCAGCACTTGGCCCCTAGCCCAGCTGTTCACGCACTCAAGGTGTGGGGGGTGGGGGCAGCAGCCTGTCCTCTCAGGTCTGAGGCTAAGGGTCCAGCGGTCACATGGCCAAGGTCATGCCCCTCCCCTACTCCCATGAGGGTGGTCCTCCCACACACACAGCAGGGGGGACAGGGCAGCACCCCACATACCCAGGTGGTGAGAGACGGGAAGAAGGGGGTGCTGCAGGGAGGAGGTGAGGACTGAGAATGGTGGAAAAGCAAAAATATCAAGACAGCCGAGCAGACAGACAGAGGAGGAGAGAAAAGGAGAAAGCGCGTCTGAGACAGAGGCACCGACGGCAGTGAGCTATCTAGATGATAGATGGGGGGCGCAGGGGACACGGGCACCTGCTTCCCTCCCGCAGCCCAGAGGCCCGGGAGACAATTGACACCTGGTCTGGCTGAACCACGAGAATGCAGCCTGTGACCAGCCCAGAGGGAGAGGGGAGCAGTGGAAGCAGCTGTGGGGCGCAGAGGCCTCTTCTGCCCAGAGCCCGGTGGCACAGCCCAGGAGGGGTGCAGCCATGCAGGCAAGCAGGCATTGGGGGGTGGCATGTTCCAGCAAAGAGCAGGGCTCCCGTGCCCTGGCCTGACTGGACCCCTCCCCTAGAGCTTTTCTCCCTTCAGGCCCCAAGTGCCCCACCACCAGCTCTCTTTAAGGGGCACTCTCTCCTTCCACCACAGAAGAAACAGCTGCACAGCCAGGGTGCATGCTGTTATCGGGGGCTCCCGGTCTGCAGGCTGCATGCTGTAGGACGTCCCCTCTCATGGGGACATTCATGGGCAGAGAGGAGAGTCAGTGAGACCTCACAGCACTTGCTGCTCTGAGGGCAGAGCTGGTGGTGCAGGGGTCTCAGTTCAGAGCTGGGCAGGACCACAGACCCCAAAGTCACTCTCAGCAAATGCCTCCCCTCTCCGGTTAGTCAGCTGCCCAGTGATCCCGCTGGGTTTGTGCCCTTTCCGCCCGGGTGCTCCTAGGTCCCGGGCCCCTCTCTGGACTCAGAACTGAGAAGACAAGGAGTCCTGGCTCAGTCCCACCCCTGCCCCCCCTCGGAGGGCAAGCCTGGCACAGCGCCTGGCCTCTGTGAATGACAGCCGCTGTTGTTAATGGGGGTTTTATAGTTATTTCTTCACAACCCTCATCACCCAAGATCAGGGTTCCCCTGGACTCAGGCTTGCTGAACCTCCGGGTCACATCCTCTCAGCCCCCCGCTATAGGCTGACTCCCAAGCTTCCCTGTCAGGGGAGCGTCTGGACCCCGGACCCGGGGAGAGCCCCCACTGCACTGCGGCGTGTGGGAGGGGTTGAGGGGGGTTGGGCTAACTCCCCAGGCTGGGTGAGAGGGTGAACAGAGCGAGGCCAGCTGGGGACGCAGGCAGCGGAGGTCAGCAGGGAAGATGCAGGCCCAACCAGCTCTGAGACCCAGGTAAGCTGCAGGCCCTCTCCGAGCCTGTTTCTCCCCGTGTGGCAAGGTGAGTACCACCCAGCTCCAGAGTTCCCCCGAAATCCCAGACATGACAGAGACACACACGCTCAGTCCAGGGCAGGAGGCCCCACAAACACACCACCCCAGGCTCCCGCTTGTGTGGCCACACTCTTGCAGGGACACCCGTCAGCTCCAGGAGCAGGTGGGGGGAAGCGCAGTCTGTGTCCTGGCCTCCCAGGAGCAGGGACGTGAGGCTCGGCCAGGGAAATCTCATTTGCAGCAGCTCATAAGCCCTGGCACAGGCTCTTCCCTGAGCCAGGCTGGCCAAGGCTCCCGGAGGTGTCATTGTCACCATCCGTGTCATTGCCATTACTGAGGATTAGGAGGACCAAGGACTCCTGGGGCCCAGCCAGATCTCTCAGGTAGGCAGCTGCCTCACCCCTTGCTGCTGGAACCCTAGCACCAGGACAGGAACTCTGCCCTCAGGGACAAAGCCTGCCACCCCCCGGGGAAGAGACTCAAGCCGGGGGTCTGAACACCAGTCTTTTCACTGCCTAGAGCTCCTTGGAGCTCCCTTGTCATGGAGCTCCCTGGGCCTCAGTTCCTTGTCTGTAAAATGGGAGGATTATACCTTCACCATGGAACTACCGTTCGGTAAGTTAACTTTTTGGATTTCCAGCACAATGAGCCCTTACTGCAGGGCATAGATGGTGCGGGGAAGGGTCCTGGGATTGAATGCTGAGCTGTGTGACATCAGGCACATTACCTAACTCCTCTGGGCTTCAGTCTCCTGGCCTCTAAGACAGTCATATACCCCTTATCCAATGCTCCTTTGTGTCTGACATTTGATGTTCCTCGAATCTTATATCAACCCCACACAGCTGGTGCTGTCAGCCTCATCTTACAGATGAGAAGACAGAGGCTCTCTCCTCCCCGGCTTCCCTCCAAAGGGCTGGGACCATGGCAGGGGCGGGACATGCACTGAGCCAGTCTACTGGGTTTTCTGCCCCTGTCAGAGGAAAGCGTGCAAGGGGGAGTTGTCCACAAGCCTCGAGAGATTTCGATGTTTCCATCAATCAGGAAGTACTGATTCCAGGCCAGCTGTGCTCCTCAAACCCCTAGGCACACTCCCCACCCCAGGACCTTTGCTCTTCTCTCTGCCTGGAATGTTCTTCCCCCAGAATCCCCATAATCCACCTGAGATCTCTGCTCAACCACTCCCTGCCCCTGACCCCCACCTTCTCTAGCCCCCCAGTCTGAGATAACTCACTCCTCACCCAACCCAGGCTTCGGTCCCCTGACAGCAGCCAGCACTACCTGACGTCACTTAATTCTTCATCATCGCCCTGCCTTGCCCCACCCCCAGCAGAAAAGCAAAGCAGGATTTAACTTTGTTCACTGCTGTAACCCCCATGCCTAGAACAGGGTCAGACGTACAGCGGGTTCTCAGGACATGCTGTGTGGAGTGAGAGCTCCAGGCTAGGGATGGTGGGGAGATCCTGGATCCCCTGACTCGGCTGAGTCAGTCCCAGCTACTCCGGAGGCTGAGGCAGGAAAATGGCATGAACCCGGGAGGCGGAGCGTGCAGTGAGCCGAGATCGCGCCTCTGCACTCCAGCCTGGGCGACAGAGTGAGACTCCGTCTCAAAAAAAAAAAAAAAAAAAAAAAAAAAAAAAAAAAAGAATCTTCAATATCAGAGGGAGAAGCCCCCCCTGTGATGGGGTGCTCATGATGGGGCACAAAATGTGCCGAGCCTTCCTTTTAGTTTCACGGCCGTCCTTATGCCTCCCATTTTACAGGCAAGGAACTGAAACTCAGAGAGGTGCAGTGATGCACCCAAGACCACACAGCCAAGAACCCAGGCCAGCCTGAGCTAGTGGAACCAGCAGACTTTCCAAGGCTCCTCCCTGGAAGACGATGTCCCGTCACCTGCAGACCTCCAGTAACAGGGCTCTCAGCGCCCACCTAAAGCTACTGGTTCTCCTTTTTTTTTTCCTTTTCTTTGCTCACTGCCGCCTCTGCCTCCCAGGTTCAAGTGATTCTCCTGCCTCAGCCTCCTGAGTAGCTGGGACTACAGGTGCATGCCGCCACGCCCAGCTAATTTTTGTATTTTTAGTAGAGACGGGGTTTCACCACGTTGGCCAGGATGGTCTCCATCTCTTGACCTTGTGATCCGCCCGCCTCGGCCTCCCAAAGTACTGGGATTATAGGCGTGAGCCACCACGCTGGCCTTTTTTTTTTTTTTTTTTTTTAAAAACAGACTCTAGCTAGCTCTGTCACCCAGGCTGGAGTGCAGTGGCACGATCTCGGCTCACTGCAACCTCTGCCTCTAGGGCTCAAGCAATTCTCGTGTCTCAGCCTCCCAAGTAGCTGGGACCATAGGCGCATGCCACGACGCCCAGCTAATTGTTTTGTATTTTTGGTAGAGATGGGGTTTCACCACGTTGCCCAGGCTGGTCTTGAACTCCTCAGCTCAAGCGATCCACCCGCCCACGACTACCAAAGTGCTGGGATTACACCCAGCCACCGTACCTGGCCCTGATTCCCTTCTTGAACAGCTCTGATTACTAGAAATTTCTTCTTCTATTACAAAGCCAAGTCTGGTTCCTTGTGCTTCTGTTCATGGGTGCCACCTTGCTCTCTGGAGCCACTAGGGACGAGGCCAGTACCCCATAAAGACCCTTCTGACATCTCCTGGTCTGTTATCACTCTGCTTATCCAAGCTAAACAGCACCACGTCCTCTACCTGCTCTTCCTTCGCTGTGGTGTCAAGTCCCTCCTGCCCTTGGGTACAGCTGCCCGGGTCATGCTTGCTGTCAAGGTCCCTCTTACAACGTGTCGCCTGGAGCCAAGCACCAGTGCCGATGCGTTCAGAGCAGGATCAGCTCCAGAAGCCTCCACCTCCCTCGGCTGGGCTCCCTGCTTCTGTTCATGCGGTGAGAGTAAGGAGGCACCAGCGTCCTGTCCTCACCTTGTCCTAGATGTCAACCAAACCTCTAGGCCCCTTCACACACACGGCCAGGCAGCCCTGGTGCCCTCACAAGGTCCACGGGCAGCTCTGGGCAGTATCTGTTTAGGTCTCTTCTGAGGTGCTGGGTGTTCGTCCACCCCCATTCAATCATGTCTTGTTAGTCTCAGCCCTGCACACCAGCTGCTCTGGGTCCCGGGGGAGCTGGCTCCTGCCCCTCACTGCTTTGGCACCTGCTCCGGGCTCTGTGTCATCCTGCACTGGGTGAGCAGGCCATGACTGCATCTGTGTCACAGGGAAACAGGGACCGGGCCCAGGCTAGGGGCCCTGCCTGCAGTTCAGCCCTGGGCTGGGTGAGGCATGCTGCCCAAGCAGCCGCACACCCACCCACGTTGCTTACGCGTTCCACATGTATTCCCTGAACACCTACTATGCCCCTGGCCCTGGGACAGACAGATTTGCCTCCCCTTCACTAAGCTGCCTTCTTACTCAAAAGAGCTTAACAAGAACCACACAGCACCAACAGCTGACAGCCAAGGCGTCAGGGTCTCTGCAAGGCCTTGGTGCTTTGGACGCGCATCTCCAGGTGTAACCTCAGCCAAAGAAGGGGCATGGGGCTGGGCCGCTGAGCCGCAGTGTGACCTCGGGCAAGTCAGCACCTCATTTCCCTGGGCCTCAGTTTCCTCATCTGTTTGGAGGAAAACCACAGTACACATGTGTCTCTGGTTTGCTGGGGCCACCCCAAAGCCCTGTCACCTGCCCACCGTGTCACCCCCCCATGGCTCACCCGGTCCCCGTGCCTCCCCTGCTCACAGGGTGCCACAGTCATCTTTACTACCTACTCCATGTCCAGGCCTTGGTGGAAGGAGAGAGGCAGGGGGTGGAAGGTTTTACCAAAGGTCTTGGCCTTGGCAAACCACCCTGTGGCCTGACAGGAGACACCTGAGCCTGGTTCTAGGGGCAGCTGTAACCACATGGCCCGTGAGCAGGGCCCACTCCCTGGCAAACCCCCACCCCAGCCCACCCACCACCAGGCACCTGGGGATAGGATTGTCCCACAGCCAAGGATGACCTGTATTAAAAACCCACCTCCTGGCTTTCCCAGAATCCTCCAAGCTACTCAGGAGACTGCCTCCCTCACCCCTTCTCTCCCCAACCTGGCCTTTACCTCTCCTCCCCTGGATCCCACCTCCCCCATGGACTGTGCCTCCCACACCTGATCCCACCTTCCCAACCTGACCCCTGGCCTCATCCCATTTGACCCCACCTCCCCACCCCCCACGACCTCTAGCCACTCCCCACTTGCCCTTGCCTCCCCCACCTGACCCTGCCTCCCCCACCTGACCCCTACCTTCTCCCCACCCGACCCCTGGCCTCTCCCCACCTGACCCCGCTTCCCACTCCCAACCCCTGCCCTCTCCCCACCTGACCCCGCTTCCCACTCCCAACCCCTGCCCTCTCCCCACCTGACCCCAATTCCCACTCCTGACCCCTGCCCTCTCCCGACCTGACCTTCGCCTCCCCCCGGCCCCTGCTGGCCCCCTCAGCTGCAGCCCCTGGGCACTACTCACCAGTGTCCACTGGACCCGCTCTTTCACCAGTGCCTGCGCAGCACGGCTGCCTCTGCCTGCATGGCCTCCATTCATTCATTCAATAAACATTTATGGAGCACCTACTATGTACCAGGCGCCGGCTAGGCCCGCCCTCCTGGCTCTGCCTCCTCCACCTGCTCCTCCCCCAGGGTCCCAAGGGGCGAACGCTTCCCTGCCCTCCAGTACCCTCAGGGCTGTCCCAAGACAGGGGCAGTGCATGTGGGGACCGCAAGGGGGAAATGGAGGCTCCAGTGTCGGACAGCGAAGCCCCCTGAGAGGTAGCCCGGGGAGGGATGGGCGGCCTCCGACAAGATGAAAAGTCTTCAGTGCTTGCACTGGCTGGGCCTCCGCACTTCCCATATTAACTCATTTAATCCTGAGCCAACTTTAAACATCTTAAAAGCACTATCACTATTCCCACTTTGCAGATGAGGAAACTGAGGCCTCACAACTGCTACACAGTGGCTTCCAGCCTCCACGGCCCCAGGCTCCGTTCAAGAGCTGCTGTGGGATCCTGTTTCATCTGGATGGTGGTTTTCACATTTTTTTAATCAGTTGCCAATATTGAAAACTTGGCAGATTTTATTTCAAAAATCCTCATTTCTGGAATCCACTGAGATACAGGGAAGATCTGGCTTCCCTGGGTCTGCGTCCCCGGAGGCACAGCAGTGGCACAGGCCGGGGCAGCATCCAACCTCCTCCCTGCCTCTCTGGTTTAGGTGGCCAGCTGACCCCTGCACACTGGAGTTTATGAGGCCAGCAACAAGGGGGGAACCCCAGAGTGGGGACACGTAGAAACCCAGCCTGTCAGGGGTATTCCTATGAGCCTCTCAGCCTGGGACCCAAGGGTGCCCCGATCCCTGCCTCCTGTACTTGACCCCTGCCTGACCTCGAGCCCCCCTCCCCTATCCTCCTGACCCATGGCTCCTGGGTTTTAGTACCAGGATACTAACAGCATGGATCGGTCATTTAGGGAGGGAGGTCTCCAGTTATGAGTCTGGGGCTCAAGGATTCTAGGATGTATCTACCATTTATTTGGTCCTAAAAGTCTCCTGTGTCTTGGCCTCTGTGGGTCACCAATTCTACAGGACTTTAAGCTGTCCTGACCCTCTGACAGCTTCCCCTTGGCTCCATGCGGCCCCACTGGGGAGAGGTCCCCAACCAAGGGAGTTCCCACACAGCCACCCCAGGCCCACCTGTCACCTTGTGGGGCCCACTTCTCTCCTGCCTGGGTCAAGTTTGGGACTCCTACTGGGGTTTGAGGGTTACCCTCTCCCAAACATTATTCCCACCCCACAGAACACTGCCAGCTGGCCTAGCCTAGGTGCTGTTTCCAAGCATGGCCACTGTGGACACCAGGAGACCTGAGTTCCTGAAGCCACACCACAGCTCACCAAGGGGCCCTGGGGTTTCTGGAATGGCTCCTTGGTCCCACCCCTCTCCCCATGGACTCCCTCACTCTGCTCACCTAGGACTGGGACACCTGCCTGCTACGCCCCCAGCCCCCTGTCCCTAGCATGGCCCAGCACCCAGGGTCCTGGAGCCCTCTAGGCCCAGGCTGAGAAACCCCTCCTGAGGCCACAGCCCATTCAGCTTCTGTCGCTTCAGAACCTCTAACCAGGCGATCGCAAGGGGTCAGTATGGACACCAGCTGGGGTGGCCCAAATTCCCTCCCCCTGGCCCTGAGACCAGCTTTCTCCAGAGGAGGTGGGAGGGTCCAGCCCACACTGACGGCCGCCTCTGAGGCTACGGGGGGCCTGCAGCTGCAGCAGCAGAGAACAAGGAGGCTCTGTCGGTGCAGAGGGGTCGACATCGAGCCCCGGAAACTCCCCGGGGAGGGCCGCCGGCTGGGCAGAAACCACAGCCCAAACGTGAGGCTATCTATGTGACAGCTGCTGTGGCCACCAACTCCGCGTGGCCAGTCCACCAAGACCGGCCCTCCCTAACGTGCTGCCAAAGCGCAGGGTCCACATTCAGCTCGAATCCAGGCTATGCCACCTCACCCCGTGGTCCTGGCAAGCTAATCTGTCCTGGGTCTCGGTTTCCTCTTCTGTAAAGTGGGACAAGAAGGGCACCAGCTCAGAGGGCCGTGGAGGGGGATGGCCACAGGCCAGGGTCTGGGCAGGGTCACAGCTCCAGGAAGCTGCCTCCTGCAGGTATCGCTGTGAGGGTCTGGCGCGTGGCACCGTGGCACACGCCAGGCAGGCAGGAGGACCTCATTACCCACCGCAACCATGACAGTGAGGAAGGATGGGGCCTGGCCTGTCTTCCTTTCAGTCCCGAGGGCAACACACCCCTCTTTGCCTCTGTCCCTGTCCCCTCTCTGATGTCCAGGCCCCCCAATAGCCTGCTCCCACCCCCACCTTCAGCCTGTTCCCCGGCCTCGGTTTCTCTCCCAGCGCCAAAGCACAATGGCTGTTATAATTAACGAATTATCTCAGCGTGACAGCTGTGGTCCTTTGAAAATTAGCTTGAATAACAAGATCCTGGTGTATGGTAATTTATTTTCCTCTTTCTCCCCCCTTCTCTCTCCCTCACTTCAGCCTTGTCATGCATGCAAATGTTTTTCCCCTTTTCCTCCTTCCCTGACACCTTCCCCCTCTGTAGCCTCCTCGTCCTCCTCAGGAGGGTAAGGGACAGACTAAGCTTCTGCCTTCAGGTGAAAAGATGCAGGAGCTGACCCTCCTGGGCACCTCGTCCGCGCTGGTGCCAGGCACAGCGCCTGACATGTCGCCTTCTGAAATCTCCCCACAGACCTAAGTCCTGCCACCTTCTTCCTGGGCTGGGGACCTGCAGCTTTGCTTTCCCGCGACCTCCCAGGCCGCGGCCCCTCGGGCTCCTCTGCTTGTAAGCCAAGCAGTGGCCTCCCCTGATGTCCTGGTCCCTGCTCACTGCCTCTCTCAAACCCGCTTCCCCCTCCCCTACCCCAAGAGCCCTTCAACCCTTCCCAAGGCTTCTAATGTCAGCTCTGGGCTGACCACACCCAAACCACCGTACCCAGCTGCCTCCGGGGCCCTTCCCTGGCACCTGAAACTCACTCGTCCATGTCCACCTCCACGGCTGGACTCATCTCCCACGGCCCCTTCCCCCTCCTCCCCTGCTTCTCTCCCAGTTCCCAGACACAGTGAGAGGCACCCACACCTCCCCACCTGCCCCTAGTCCCGCCTTGGTGCCGCCGCCTCCCCCTACTGCTCCTGCTGGTCTCTCTACCTCCAACCCTACCTCCCCACTCCATGCCCCCTCCACCCAGCAGAAGATGAACTTTCTAGAACATCAACCTGAGCATGGCACTCCCTGCTGAAAAGTCTTCGTTGGCTCGGGCTGATCTGGGAAAATTCCAACAGCATCCAGAGCCCAGCCCACATGGTCTTGTGGGAGCCGCTGCCTGTTCTGCCCTCCTACCTGCCTGCCTTCTTCCAACCTGGCCGGGGTCTCTCCTGTGGGTTCCCACAGCCCCCTGTGCTTCCTCCATCACAACCGGAATCATAACTGCTGCTGCTACCTCTGGACTGAGTTCCCCGAGGAAGGGTCCTGCTTCTCCTAGTAGGTGCTCAATAAATATTTGTTCATGGCTGAGTGAAGGAGGCCAGCTCGCCGCCCTCATATAGATAAGGAAATCGAGGCTCCAAGTAATTCATGACTTGCTCAGATCACACAGTTCATGCAAAAGACAAAACCAGGATTTGAACCAGGTCTGTGACTCCAGTGCTCTTCTGGGCTCTTCTGCTCCCTGGGGAAGTCGGGGAGGGGTCAGCTTTTGCACAGATCTCAGGGGACTTCAGCCTCCCTCCAGCCTCAGTTGGGCAATAAAGAGACCAGCTTCTAGCCTAGGCTGTCACTCCCTTGAGTTTGACCTTGGACTAGCCACATGACTCTCAGGGCCTCAGTCTTCTCATCTGTAAAGTGGGAAGGAGCCCCGCCTCACTCTCTATCCCAGAGGGTGGCTGATAGGGCAGAAACTCAGGTCTTGGAGAAAGCCAGTCCTGCTAACATCTGGGATTTTCCTGACCTCACCCTCCAAATCCAACTGCATTGCCCTTGGCAGGCACTCCCCGGGGCTTCGTGGGGGGCGTCCCCAGGATGGGAGAGGTCACAGAGAATAGGAACTCTTTCAGGGGGAGGTAGTGGGAGAAGCATGCGGGGCTTGGGAGTCAGATTATGACCTTGGGCAAGAGCTTCCTCTCAGAGCTTGGCGTCCTCCTCTGTCAATTGGGGCCACAATGAGGACTAATGTACACAGTGCCTGGCACAGTGCAGGTGCTGCCAAGGCCACATGGCTGCAAGGTTCTATGGGAATGTGATCCTGAAGTGTGCCCCAGAGAGGGAGAGAGAAGAGGGTGAGACAGAGCAGGACCAGCTGTTCCTGACTCTCCCTCAACAGCCCACAATGGCTCCCACTGGCCCCAGAATAGAGCTCACAACCCAACCTGTGGCCCTAGAACCCCTCTCTCCCTCTCTAAGCTCACACCCCACCATGTCCCCTCGCAACCCTATGGAATTGAGGGCACGCCCACACCCATATCCACCAGGCCGTTACTCACCAGCGATTAGCTGGTACTAACCCTGGGACCCATTCCCACCTGTCCCCATCCCCTGGGCCGAGACCTTATGCCTCCTCCTCTGAGAAGCCTTTGGAGATCTCCCTTCTGCAGGGTGACCCCCCTGCTATGCCCCCACAACCCCGAGGTATAGCCCTTGGAATCCTGGATGGGTCCTAGAGATCATCTCCCCCATTTTACAAGTAGGGGAAACTGAGGTGCGGACGAGGAACAGCAGCTCTCCAGTGATGCACTTGAACCCGGGTCTCTGCTGCATCCAGCCCACCAAGCAGCTTCTCTCCTGGTGCTGAGCTGTTTAGCCCTTGCCTGTCTTCTCCATGCCCCCTCCCCTGCCTGGAGCTACCTGAGGACAGGACCCCATCTTCCTGTCTGCGCCCCTCCCCCAGTGCCCAGCCTAAGGCCTGGCGCATAGTAGGCACTCAGTAAATGTCTGTTGAATTGAATTGCGCTCAGGGCGGCCAGTCGTCTCTGCTCTGTAAGAAAAGCATAGAGTTAGTGGAGCTCTCCCCAAGACCAGGGGGGTGGGAACCAAGCTGGTGGGGTGAGGAACCTGGCCTGCCCCAAGGAGCCCACGGGCCCTGGGGAGGGGGCCTGGGAAGCTGGAACATTCAGACTTAGATGAGTCCGAATTCTGCCCCAACAGGCTGCATGGCTCTGGTAAGTCACACTGCGGCAGGGCCTCACTGGCCTCATCTGTCAAATGGAGATGACACTCCGGTCCCTCCAGGCTCTGAGGACTGCTTGTGATGAGGACCAGAGAGATGTGAGGAGTGTAAACAGTAAACCCCAGCTCACAAGCATGGAGTGCCCAGCGCCTGACACAGGAGAGTCGGGTGCGAATGATGCCCATTCTACAGATGAGGAGACTGAGGCTTGGAGAGGGGCCTGGCTTGCCCAAGGCCACACAGCCCATGCATTGATCTCATGCTGTACACACGGCCTCCCTGCCAAGCCAGAGGGAAGCAAGGAGTGATAATGAACCCCAGATGAAGAAGCTGAACCCACCAAAGGGTGGCCCAAACCTTACCCAGGCTGGCAAAGATTCTGCAGGCAAAGGGCCCAGCGTGAGCCCCAGAGCTGTGAAGGGAAGGGTGAGAAGCCGCATTCTCCCCTCCCCATGGGGGTGAGCTCTGATTCCACAGCCCCCCAGAGGGTTCAAAGGCATCCTCAGATCCGCAGCTGCAAAGGCCTGGGCAGGCCTGGGTGTTAATATAGATCAGTAGAGACTATAAATACACGGGCAGGCTGGTCACTGCAGGGCGGCCAACCTGGCACAGCCAAGACAGAGGTTCTAACCCCAGCCCTGCCCCCTCCCGCCACCCCTCTCCCTTCTGGGCCTCGGTTTCCTTGCTTGTCAACAGCAGGCTGCTCCATGACCATGACTGCCAGAAGGTTCTTTACCCAGCAACACACAGTTTTCTGACCCCAGCCAGGCTGGCCCAGGGGGAGGCCCTGGAGGCCCAGGCAGAGACCTGGGAGAAGAGAAGGATGTACAACAGGATCACCCCGGATACCTGAGACAGTCAAGCGAGGGGCTAGACTATGCCTCTGCTCACCAGCCTGGAGCTGACAAGAGGCAGAGAAAGGAGCCTAGAAGCCAGCCATTCATTCATTCCCTCTCTCTCCATTCAAACAGCCATGCTGTGAGCACGGCCTCCCGCAAGTGGAGGACCCACAGCCAAAGCCAGGCCTTCTGGTTGGGGCTCTGGTGGGGATGACAGGGAGATGAATGGGCATCTCTTTCCCTATCCGCCCAAGGCTGCGTGGGGGCCATCCTCTGGCTCCCGACCCCCATCCCAGGTCGCATGACAGGGACACTGGTTTTACATCCACCTTCTGCCTGGACCACAGCCTCATAGAGGACAAAGACCAAGTGTGGACAGTCTCACTCACCCTGTAAACCCAGGGCCCGGCACCGTCCCAGTAGGCTCTCTGTACACGTCCACGGCTGAAAATCACCCTGGGAACACAAGAGAGCCACCACGCACAGGGCCATGACACAGGCCCAGGAACAGAGGAGCACACCGCGCCGGCACCCGCTGTGTGCCAGGCCCCCGCACACTTCACACATGGCAGCCACACTGTCATGCCTGCTTGAAGGATGAGGGAACTGAGGCTGAGAAATGATAAGAGACATGCCCAAGAGCCCACAGCTAAAGTGGCTCAGCACCCATGACTCCCCAGATACAAGTCCAGCTGATACAGCAGTCTGACCATCAAAGGGACGGTGTCTGGGACTCCCCGAAGGCCAGGCATAGGTGAAGGGACAGTGTCCCACTTCCTCATCAGAGCCTCAAAACAACCCCAAACGGCAGACAGACCCTTACATGACAGGGAGAGAAACTGAGGCTCTGAGAAATGACCTGTGCCCAGCCCCAGGCCTGGCAAATATTGGAAAGGGCCTTCCCAGGCAGTGCGTGGGTCCCACATCCTCTGAGACTCAGGAGGAAGGGGTGCAGACCTGGGCCTGAGCCCAACTGGCCCTCGCGTGGCTGGGTGACATGGGCAGTGACCGGCCCCCTCAGAGCCTCAGTTTCCCCAAGACCCATCTCCTCTGCCCCACGCACCTGCTGCAAGGAGGAGGAAAAGGATAACCCACGGGCAACTCCCCTTTAAAAACTGTAAAGTGCCATTCATCTTTGTTCTTCCTTCTTGCTGTCAGTGCAACAGAAGCACCGTCCATCTTAAGGGAATTTAACTGCTACCGTTAGACTTTCCTTGGCCCTCCTCAACCACTTCTCTGCCCCCGTCTCTAAAAAGGCTCACCTGTGTTTGTGAGATGCTCACAGTGAGCCCACCCTTGTTAAGGGATTCTCTCACATTTCATCCTCAGGATCCTAGGAACCAGTTTTTTGTTGTGTTTTTTGTTTGTTTGTTTGTTGGATTCTCTTTTTTTTTTTTTTTTTGAGACAGAGTCTCACTCTGTCGCCCAGGCTGGAGTGCAGTGGCGCAATCTGGGCTCGCTGCAACCTCCGCCTCCCAGATTCAAGCAATTCTCCTGCCTCAGCCTCCTGAGTAGCTGGGACTAGAGGCGCCCGCCACCACACCCAGCTAATTTTTGTGTATTTTTAGTAGAGACAGGGTTTCACCATGTTAGCCAGGATGGTCTCGATCTCCTGACCTCGTGATCCACCCGCCTTGGCCTCCCAAAGTGCTGGGATTACAGGTGTAAGCCACCGCGCCCGGCCAGAACCAGGTATTATTTTTATGCCCGTTCTGCAGATAAGGGAAGTAAGGCTCTCAGAGATTAAGTGACATCCTCAAGATCACATTGCAAGAAAGTGAGCGTGCTCCCCACGCCACTGTATATTTGCCCCCACATATCTGTATATTCCACTCTCAGTGGCTGCTAGAGACCTCTGGTTGGTTAATGCCCATCTGTTCCCTGGTTTATCCGACTTCCCAGATGTATGTAATATTCATATTTCCATCAGCAGCAGCTCACGCACCCCTTTCCAAGGCCTTCAGGAGCCCCATTAATCATTCAGACACACCTGCATATTCATTAACTTCTCAATTAATACAGGGTCCCTTATTACTTCAGGCCTGCTGCCTGCATTAAAGACACTTCAACTTCGTTCATTATTAAACTCCCCTGATAAATGATCAAACCCCTCTTTCACAGAGGGGGACAGCGCCCAGGCCCCGGGGCTAGCAGGCCTGCTCCCAGTGACAGCTGCTGTGTGACCTTGAGCCAGGCCCTCACCCTCTCTGAGCCTCCTGTATGTTTACCTGGTAAAATCAGGCAAAGGATGGTCTCTGACCACCACCTGGCCTCGTCAAGGTGGCCCTGTCTCATCCTTTGTCCTTTCTCTGCGTGTCTTTTCTTGGACTCACGTAATCCCTCCCCAGAATGGAAGCCGATCCTCTCTGGAGGTTTCCTTATGCTCCCCCATCAACAGCCTCCACTCGCACCTGGGCCTGGGCCTGGGCTTTGCAGTCAGTGGGCCTCAGGTCCTGGCACTGGCCCATCATCCTGAGGGCAGCATCTCCGGGCTAACTTGGCTTGGGCCTGGCAGACCATGACACGTCCCAAATCAGAGAGGACAACTGACACCCCCCACCAGTTGCCGGACTCCAACTGCCACACAACAGTATCGATGAGGACAACAGTAATAATAACAGCACCCAGCACTTCCTGAGCCTGGACCACGCCCCAGGCCTTGCGCTAAGTCCCATATGGTCCCATCCTCAGATCAACCTCCACTTAACAGATAGGAAAGCTGAGGCCAGTGAGGTCAAGTCATCTCCCTAAGCCAGGCTGGAGCTGGCTCTGCACCCAGGCCTCGCTGACTCGGGGTCCCCAGAGCGTCCCCATCACATGTGCCAACAGGAGGCCCCAGCACTCGGCCACCCTCTTGCCCTGGCTCCTTCCAGCACCTTCTTCCCAAGCTCTTCCTTTATAGGCCCGATCTCTGCCTAATGGAGCTGCAGGCGACACGGAACGGGTCCCCCATTCGCTGGCAGATGCCCCAATCCATCTCCATTATGCCTGGCGCTAAGGAGCACTGCAAATGAAGCGTGATGATGCCACCGCCAGCATCACTCCTGCTGGCTCTGACCCGCCTGCCACCTCCACCTAACATGCACACCAGGCTGCGACTGATGTCCACAGGCCCAGCTGCCACCTCGTACAGATGCAGGGATGGAGCCTTTGCTCCTGGCCCCACTGGCTGTGTGACTGTGGGCCCCTTACTGAAACTCTCTGTGCCTCAGTCTCATCATCCAAATTATGTCTGACTCCACCCTCTCCCTCGTCTCTCATTTCCCATCCACCTCGACACCTCTCCAGGCCACACACCTGTGTGTCTGCTGCCGCCCCTCCGTCCAAGCTTGTCTGGATGGCAGCACCCACCTCCCAGGGTCTCTAGTGTGCCCCAAGGTCCTCCCCTCCCTCTGCTCGGCTCGGGTGCTGTCTTTTATGGACTCACCGAGGCCTCTTTCTTAATACCCTTTCAGCCGCTTCCACAGTTCCCAGGCTAAAGCCAGACGTCCTCCTGAAGGTCAAGGCCCCTCAGGGGCCTGGCCCGGCCGCCTGTTCCAGGCTCCCTCCCGCCCTCCTCCCGGGCAGCCTCACCTCTCCCAGGATGACTCCTTGGTGAGTGTCCAGCCCCCGTGGACCGTCAGGGGGCCGCAGTGGCCAGCACCGTGAGTCCTCCCCCGCAGCTCCCGCCCCGGCACACAGTAGGCAGAGCGATCCCGCAGCTTAAAGGAATGCCCCCATCGAGTGCAGACAGCAATTTCATCCTACGGGCCGTGGTGACTGTCAACAGTGCCTCATACGCTGTAAATGAAGAACTCTTCACTCCTCGCCTGGGACTGAGCACTGGGTTGGCTGCCGCAAACTCAACACCAACCCCCGACCTTACAGGGTGTCAAGATAAAGATCGTCAGGCCAGGCGCAATGGCTCACGCCTGTAATCCCAACACTTTAGGAGGCCGAGGCGGGCGGATCACGAGGTCAGGAGTTCGAGACCAGCCTGGCCAACATAGCGAAACCCCGTCTCTACTAAAAATACAAAAATTAGCTGGGAAAGGGGGCACACGCCTGTAGTCCCAGCTACTCGGGAGGCTGAGAGGCAGGAGAATCACTTGAACCCAGGAGGCAGAGGTTGCAGTGGGCCAAGATCACGCCACTGCACTCCAGCCTGGGTGACAGAGTGAGACTCTGTCTCAAAAATAAATAAATAAATAAATAAATAAATAAATAAATAAATAAATATTGTTGGATTAATTTCTCAGATGAGAAAACGGAGGCTCAGAAAGACAAAGTGGCCTCACAGCGTCACAGCTGGTAAGTGGTGAGGCTGGGATTCAAACCTGGCTCTGCCTGTGCCTGGTTCCAGCACCAGAAGAAACGTCCTAGAAGTAGTCAAGGAGCATCAATCGAGTGCCGACCACACGCCAGACCCAAGTAGGCATTTACATCAATCACTTCATGAAAACCCCTCCACGGCCCTGGGAGACGGGCACTGTTATTCTACCCATCTGAGACACGAGGGATCAGGCCCAGAGCAGTGAAGCCACTTCCCAAAGGCACACAGCTAAGAAGTGGCAGGGCCTGAGACACACCAAGGTGTTGTCCCCTCTAGCTCTGCCCAGATCTCCTTCCCAGCCTCCTCTGCTGTCAGGGGCACTCTAGGGAGAGAGGCACCCCTTGGCTGGCTCTGTGGCAGCCAGGAGCTGAGCAAAGTCCTTCTCTACCTGGGCCTTGGCTTCCTCACCCACGGGGGGCAGGGGATGTGGACAAGACAACCTGGGGGTCCTGTCAGCACTGGCACAATATCCGTGCACCCAGGGGCCCACCACACACCAGGTCCTGGGCTTGGCACCGTGGGCTGCAAAGACCTGCAAAACTAGTGTCTGGCGTGCAGGGCATCACCAAGGGAGGCCCAGGGTGGGAGGGGCAGGGAGCCACCTGTTCAGGGCTCAGGGGACAAGCAGGGTGCAGGTCCCTGTCTGCTGTCAGCACAAGCACCACAGACCCAACAGGAAGCCAGAAGAAGGGTCACGGACACAGCTGAGCCCCCAGATACCCGAAGCTGGTGGTTAAGTGGGAGGCTCAGCACCTCTGAGGACCCGCTACCACCGGAGGGCTGGAGACCCCCGGAAGGGGCTGCATCCAGCTAACCAGACATTCCACATCCGATGAGCACCTAGCCTAGGATTTCAGGCACACCGTGGAAAACACAAAGACAAGCCAGGAACTCACAGACGGACAAATGCGCCAGAGACTTTGCTATTTAAAGAAAGCTTCCTGTGAATTATTTTATAAACTAAGTATCAGCCTCCAATTCCCCATCAAAAGCTTGAATTTTCAGATTGGGTTTGCTGAAAGTGAGCTAACACTCCTGGCTTTCTAGGTGCTTCTGTATTGCACACCCCAAGGGTGGGACGAGGGCTGTGTCCCCACCATGTCCCCGGCCCCCAACATGGGGCCAGCGTGCAGAAGAGGCTCAGCAAATGCTGCAGAAGCCAACTCTGTTAGCGCACTCATTTCCAAACCCCAGGAGCAGAGCTGCTTGGGTGCCAGGATCCCCCAGCGGGCACACCTTGTGCCATCTACTTTCAGACCCTCTGGGGCACTTTGAAGGAGGTCAGAGCTGGCAGATCCCTTAGCACTACCCAGGCCCCTGTCATGCAGCAGGTGAGGAAACTGAACCCAGAGAGGACAAGAGCCTTGAGCCCTACGGCCTCCCAGCCACGCCCCCTTCCCTTCCAGGCGCCCCCTTCCTGCCCCGACCCACTAACCACTGCTGCTCCTCCAGGCTCTGTCCTTGGCCTGTGGCACCCTCGTCTGCCCTCTCCTCCAGGGTGGCTTCATGCATGCCCCTGGCTGCTCAGATCGCGCTCGGTCATGGTCACCACTGCCTGCCTGCTTGCTCAGGCCCAGATCCCAGCTTTCCCGTCAACTCCTGCCTCTCCCACTGGAAGATGAAGATCAGACCAGCCTCCAAGTCCATGCCAGGACAGGCCACTATCATCACTTGCCTATCACTCACAGGGATCTCCTTTTTTTCCAGGCAGAGGGAGGCTTCCGGAGGGCAGCTCTGATGCTGTCTCTCCTGCTCAAAATCTTTCTAGGGCTCCCTGCAGCCCCAGGGCTAGAGCCTAAGCTCCTTCTTGGTGGGTGACCACCAACACGGTGAACTCCTACCAGCTTCAGCTCGGGCATCACCGCCTCCAGGAAGCCTTCCTTGAATCCCTGGTCTGGCTTCACCACTCCACTCCACAGCACCCCCATGCTCACCAGCTCCAAGTGGCATCCCACTGAAGGGTCACTGTGTCCCCTCCAGAGGGCCAGGAAGCACGGCGTGCCCCTCTGTGCCCCCTCAGTGCCCCCAGTGAGAAGCCTGGCATGGAGAAGGCACCCAGGGAGTGAAAATTGAAAACACAAAAGAACAACATAGGCCCCCAGGCATGTAATTCCCAGCTGGCATCCGTCTCCACTCGCTCACCCCCACCCACGCTGAGTGTGCCCATTATTATGACTGATGACAGCCAGGCCTCCCAGCTCCTTCTGGCTGCTGTGACCATCAGGAAGCCGTCCAGTACGATGGCTCCCATGCTGGCCCTGCCCACAGGACAGTCTGGTCAGACGGGTGCAGAGGGACAGGGAAAGGAGGGGGAACGTGGACAGAGCCCCTGCTGGAAGCCTCGCCTAGACCCCAAGGTCAGCTGACTCTGCTGGCCTTGTGGGAGCCCCGCGTGACCTTCTTATGTGGGGACGTGGGGCTCTCACTTCCAAATGAGGAAACTGAGGCTCCAAGAGCAAGCAGCCGACCTGAACCCAGAGATCGGCATTGGTCTCCTGCCCACTTCTTCTTACATTGGATCCAGGAGCTTCCTAAGCACAAGGAGGGGAACGAGCTACCGGGCTGGGCATTTTACAGGCGTTCTGGGAGGCTGTGGGCACCCGGGAAAGAACACCAAGTCTGGGGTCCTCATAACCTGGACTCAGACCCTTGCTCGGTTCCCCTCAGCTGTGTGGCCTCGGCAGCCCGCGCAGCTTCTCTGAGCGGACGTCTGCACTGGTCCCTGGGGGTGCGAGGCTGCCCTGCAGGGTTGCTGTGTCAAATGAGACGGTAAGGACACAGCCAATAACAGCCGAACATCTTCCAGGCCACGCTGCGGGTGGATTATTGCATCTAATCCTCACAGTGACTCTGGGAGGCTGAGTCTAACAGGGTCCCCATTTGATAGACAATGAAGGTGCCAGGGTCAAACGCCTTACCCAGAGCCAGGCAGCTGTGGGCGGTGGAGCTAGCGCTCAGGCCTGGGTAGACCGTGCCGGGCACATGGAGGGCCTCACTAAACAACATTATTTTTTGACTCCAACCTGCCCTTTATTCCTCAAAGGCCCCTGAATATACTGGCCTCCAGCCTGGCCTCTCCCTCCTGCAAGCCTTCGTAGGGACTGTTCCAGCCACCTGCCGTGCCTCTCCTTCCACTTCCAGAAAGCAAACCTCTCACCCTTTACATTCTCATCAAATGCTACCTCTTCCACTGAGCCGCCCTGGGCTCCACCACCCCACTCCTGTCCGGCCCCTTCCCCCTACCCCAGTAAAGCCCCCCAGCACAGCAGTCTCCTAACTGACTGTCGCCTACCCTGCCTCAGCCCATCCTCTGCACAGCAGCCCAAGGAAGCCTCCCGCAGCGCACTCACATCGCCGCCCTGCTCTAAAGCCTCTGGCGCCTCCCCAGCTCCTCTGCTCCACAGTTTAGGCCCCTCATGATCTGGCTTGGCTCTGTCTCTGCAATGTGCCCTCCAATACCATCAAGACAAACTGCTCCCCGCTTCACACACGCAGGCGTGCACACACACGCATCTACACATGTCATGTGTGCACACATGTGCACACATGTACACCTCTCCAGCTGGTGCGGGATCTCCTAGGCTCCTCCCTTGCTTGGGCCTCTACTTCCACTCCTGCCTTACCCACCTTCCCACCTCCAGCCCAACCCCAGAACAGCACCTCCAAGAAACACCCCCTGTAATTCCTCAGCTCCCCTACCAGCTCCTTCCTGGAACACAGCATCCACCTGGCCTGTTCCCAAACACATACATGCTCCCTGCTGCTGGAAGACACAGCGTCCAGCCTTTTCCTGGCCCGGAGGGAGCTCAGGGGCCTCTGGTGTCCTCCCCAGACTCCTGGATCCTCCCTCCCCACTCCCAGGGATGGGCACGTGAGCTTCTTACCCCTCTCTGAACTCGGAGAGGCTTTTTGCAGCTCTTGGCCTTTCCCCTTGAGATTCCCCGGCCTGGAGTACCCTCCTGTCCCATCCCCGCCCAGTGAGTGCTACTTCTCAGGCAGGACTCAAAGCTGCCTCCTACAGGAAGCCTTCCAGCCCACCAGGCCTCAGCCACCCTGTAAGGACTGGCTGGCAAGTCTGCCCCTGTGTGGGCTTCCTGAGGGCAGGGACTCTTTTCATGCCCAGGCCCATACTGGCTCCTTGAGAACTGTCTGCTGAGGAAACATGCTCCCTCCTGTGCCACCCCTGAGTGCCTGGAGGCACAGCAAGCAAGTTGATCAGACCACGGAGACCACCGGCCCACCTCTCCCACCTCCACCGACCACGGGGACCACCAGCCCACCTCTCCCACCTCCACCGACCACGGGGACCACCGGCCCACCTCTCCCACCTCCACCGACCACGGGGACCACCAGCCCACCTCTCCCACCTCCACCGACCACGGGGACCACCAGCCCACCTCTCCCACCTCCACCGACCACGGGGACCATCAGCCCACCTCTCCCACCCCCACTGAGCCCCCTGCGTCGCACACCTGGGCCACCGGCCTCTGCCCTCACCGGCTGCTGGCTCCCATGAGATTGGAATAGTATCCAAAATCTTCCCAGACTTCACTTCTTCACCTCCCACCTCACTCACTTGCTCCAGCCACCACCTCCCCGCCATGGCCGCCTTGCTCCTCCTGGTAAATGAAAGAAGGAAGGGCTTGCAGAGCTTGACCACGTGCTTCCTCAGCACCCACTGAACCCTCAAACCAGCATCATTCGCAAAGGACAGAGGAGGAAACTGAGGCACAGAGAAGGGAAACAACTGCCCAAAGCCAGGCTGCTGCAGGGTGAGGCCTGCAACCACCCCCTCCCTGCCTCCAAAGGCCAAGCCCTCCACGTCCCCAGCCCATGCAGCAGGTCCCTAGGAAACCGGGAGGGGCAAGGGAGTGCAAGGGAGAAGAATGTAAGGAAAGGCGGGGTTATTATCCTCCCAGGTCAGGGGCCTCAACCACCCTCCACTCCACTCAGAGATGCTGACCCACCCCCTCGTGTCTACCCCCATCCCACCCCACTCCGGTCCAATCAGACTTCACCTTCTGTCCACAGGCCGACTCCCACTGTGGACAGAGAGCTGCCCCCACTGACACGGGCCTGGGGGTAGCAGCAGGGGCAGTTGTCCCCTCCCCTCACCCCCGGAGGCCCACACACCTGTGCCTGAGGAGCACCTCAGCCACCTGGAGGGCCAGGGCTGCCTGGGCAGGGCTGGGGCAAAGGCATTCTGGCATCTTAGGGCCTCCTAGCAGGTGCCTGGTGACCAAACCTGACTACCAAGAATCACAGCCTGGCAGAATTGGAAGAGCTTAAACCTCTTCGCTGTCACCCATTAGACAGATGGGAGCCTGAGGCCTGCAGGGGTGCCAGGACTCCCCAAGGCCCCCTCAGCCTCCCCACCCACCCTCGGTGGGCACGCCTGCTGGGAGCAGCCCCTGAGCCCCTGGAGGGAAGGACATGGCCTCACTCCCCGCCAGGGTCCCAGCACCCGGCCCAGAACAGGAGTTCAAGAGTTTCCTTGAACAAATAAAAGCGTGAGAGAGTCCATGCCGGACACAGGCCCTGCCTTGCCTTCTTGTAGAGGGATCTAAAGGTGGAGATCAAACGAGGGCATTAGCCTGAAAGTGCTTTCAAAACCCATAAATCACTACACACCTGGAAGGGACTTGTAATCCCTAAGTGGCGAAAACGGTCACAGGTTAAGTATTTCATTCAGTCATTCATTTCATACCGATTCTCAAGTCCTGGCTCTGTGCCAAGTCCTGGGGACGGTGCAGGGGACTGGCAATGACCTCAACAGACATGGCACTGCCCTGAGGAAGCCCACGGCTCCAAGGGAGTCAGTCAAACAGGGTACCAGGAATTACAAGCGGAACATGCGGGGGCCGTGGGGCCTAGGCCAGGTGGGGCTGCCTGGTCTTCCAGAGGAAGGGTCACCTAGCTCTCAGGCCTATTGGAGACAAAGGGTCTCCAAAAAGCAGGTCAACTAGCAAAGGGAGCACAGCTCCCCAACCAGCCAGTGTCATCTCAGGTGGGCAGTGTCTAAGACAGGGACACACAGTTGGGCAGTATATATAACACTATCATTGTCCTCATTTTAAAGATGAGGAAACTGAGGCCCAGAGAGCCAAAGCAACATGCCTCAGGTCTCACAGCTCTTAGGCAGCAAAGCTGGTGGTCATGGGGCCTCCTGCACATTCTCAGGTCCCTGAGGAGGCTTGGAACAGTTTCTAGAACATTCAGCCAGTGAACTAAGGGCCAAGCCACTGTGATGGGATTCAGGCCAGCTGCTCCACTCCCAGCAGGGAGGGAGGAGGCCGCAGCCAGGGTAGGCCAATCACACAGTGGGCCCTCAGGAAACACGGCCCCAGCTGGACCTGCAGAAATCACTAGAAACAGCCCAAACAAACCATCCCTGCACAGGAGCTGCCTAATGCGAGCCTGGGGGCCACCGCCCTAGGAGGCGCGTGAGGTTTCCCAGTAACCAAGCCGGCCCGGCAGCCCTCCCTTTAATGCATGCAAACGAGGGGCATAAATTTCTGCTTACTTAACTTCACAAATGTTAACAAGCCCATAAAAAATAAGTTATTCTTCCCCAGCTCCACAACACCCTTCGTTTGTTTAATTTTGCTTCTCCTCTCCCCGCCCCCAGCCTCCTTGGCGACAAGGGAAAAGCTTGTCTTTTCCGTCTTCCATCTTTCCCTGCCTGCGGGGTCTGCCCTTGCCTCAACCTGCCCCAGGGAGGCTGAAGGAAGAAGCCCCAGATAAGGAATCAGAAGGCCCAAGAGTGAGCCCTGCTCCCTCCTCCACAGCTGTGTGACCTTGGGCTCCTGACTTAACCTCTCTGTGGTTTAATTGCCTCATCTATGAAGTAGGAACAGTAGCTGCACCCTGCCTGCTTTGGGGTTCCTGGGAGGATCAGAGGAGATAATCCAAGTAAAGTGCTTAGTTGTCTCTGGCACAGAGCAAACCCTCAATAAATGTTAGCCCATGCTATTATGTAAAGAAGAGTTAAATACCCTCCGGTTAATCCATTTGTAGAGTTTGTCTTCCGGGGCAAGCTGGCAGCTCCAAAGGCAGCCTGTGGTTCGGTTTTGTTGGCAGACTCCGTGTTGACACACATTTGAGTTTTGATGCCATCCAAACTGACCGCTGGAGTTTGCCACAGGCCCACCACACCCTATTGCCCTACACAGACCAGACGTGCGCCTTGCAGTGACCCGGCCCCGGTGAGCGTCTGAGTTTCCCACCCCTAGTTCTTGCCTCTCAAAAGCCTTTCCAACTGGTGATCTCACTAGAGGCATCACTAGGCCCAGCTGACCGATAAGGAAACCGAGGCTCATGAGGGGGGCAGCAACTTGCCCACAGTTCCCAAGGAAGGGGCTGTGGAGCCAAGGTGAGAGTGCAGCCACCAGTCCCAGCCTGTCTTCTCTCCTGAGCCCCTGTGCCACCACGACAGGTTCAGGGAAGCCTCCCTGGCAGCTGGAGGAGCAAATAAATGGCCAGTTACGCAGGTGGCAGGAGAGATGGTGTTCAGCCTCCAGGGGCTCGGTGGGTCCCAGGACCAGGCAGGAGGCTGAGCAGAAGCCAGAGCATGAGCTGGGCCTCGTCCCAGCCAACCCGAGGCATGCCAAGCCAGGGTGGCATTGCTGTGCACCGAGCACAGCACTGGGGACTCTGAAAGATAGGAGACGGGGGTTAGAGGTGGCCTGTTCCCTTCAGGTCTCCTCCACATCCTCCACTTGAGCCCACTTCCAAGAATGGCCCGGGCCAGAGACCATGCCTCACTTGCCCACAACTGCCCCCTCCTGCTGGCATCGAGCAGAAAAAGCCATAGCCGCAGCCTATCCCAGTTACTACCAGCTACATCTTCCCCAACAACATCCCAAGCTGAGGCCACTTTCATTCTTCCCTCTCTCACCAATCGCAAGTCCCCCATGAGGTATCACTCCATGATGCCCCTCCCCCCACCCCCAGGCAGGTGCACCTGTCCATCCATTCATTCTGCAGAACAAAGCTAGGCTCCCAGCACTGCAGGGACTTGCCCAAGGTCCCACCAAGCCCAGAGTGAAACCCAGCTCCTAGACATCCCTACCACCACCTTCCCAATTTAGGAGGAGTCCCCGAGGGCATCCCTAGGGCAGAGGGCAGGGCCAGGCTCCTAAGGGGCGGGGCCATGCAAGGCGAGCGAGGGGCCGGAGGGTGGGGATGGGCCGAGAGAAGACTGGATCCTGGTCTGGGTCCCGGTTGCCTGGGCAACAGGACTAATTAATTCCAACTCCATCTGTGCCTTGGCTGGATGGGCGGTTTGGGCTCCCGGGTGTTTGTTTTGAAGCAAAGGGAGAGAAGCGAGAGGGCCTGGGAGGCTGCGGCCTCGGGGTCTAGCGAGGGGCTGACATTCGCCCCAAATTCACATAGCAGGCCCTCACCCCCACCACAGGAAAAGGCAGAAAAGGCAGGCCAGGCACCCAGAGACCATCCGGGACCTCCTCTCCCCAACGAGGCTCATCATCTCAGCCCAAACGAGGTCTCACACAGCCAGCCATCGGCGGTGCCCGCCGTGTATGCACACGTGTACACGCACCTGCACACGCCGAGGAGACCACAGGCCCCAGAATGAGAGAGCCTTGGGTTTGGCTGCCAGCTTAGCCTTCTGAGTCTCAGCTTCCCTGTCTGTAAAATGGGCAACACCACTCCCCTCAAAGGGCTCTTGGGAGAAAGAGAGGGACGTCCCCAGCACAAGGACACCTGAGGGGCCTCATCTGTCCTGGGGTCCAGGAAGGCTTTGCTGAGGGTGATTCTGGTGAGGGAACCACGTATGTGGTACCCAGAAGGTGGCACTTTTGAGGAACTGGAACAAGGTCAGGAGAACTGAGATCAAGATAAATGGAACATCAGAAGGAGAGGGAGCCCCGAGGCCGAGCCAACTCCTTGCAGATCTCAAGGTTCTGGATCTTGGCCCAAGGGCAGTGGGGAGCCAGTGACATGCTGGGGGGGTGACACCAATGGAAGGGTTTGGAATGCATCGGAGGGGCGGGAATGGCGCCAGCGGCCTGTGAGGAGGCTGCAACGAGACGGGCCTGGAGGGTGACTTGGTGCAGGCAAGGACAGCAGGGTGGGCACATGAAGGCAGATTTGAGTCAGGCTTAGCGAAGAGAGTCGGGCAGGATGGAGAGAGAGACCAAGGGGGGAGTTCAGGGATGCCACCCAGGGTCTGGGTGGGTGGCTGAGTGAGCGTAGTGCCTGCCCTGGAACAGGGAGCCTCAGAGAATGGGCAAATAGCAGTGCAGGAGGACAGAGGCAGAGCCCGGGTGGGGCCAGTTGAGCTTTAGGGGTCAGAGGAACACCCCAAAGGAGTGACCAGTCAGCAGGTGGCCACACGCAATGTCCTACAGCCAGAGGCAGGTGACAGTGGAGGATGGAGACTCAGGCATCCCTTGCACACAGCTGTTAAGATGCTGGCCCGACAGCAGCGGCTGACACCCAGGCTGGGAGGGTCAGCGCTCAGGGACAGGTGCAGCAGCTGGGAGTGGATGCTGGTGCTCAGGAGCCTGCCACATCTGCCTGTGTTCAAAGCCCGAACCCAACACCTCACCAGCTATGGGATCCTTGGCAAGTCACTTCACCTCTCTGAGCCTCAACTTCCCCATCTGTAAAATGAGAATAAAAGCAATACCTACCACATAGGTTGTTGTGAGGAGGGCCATCCCCCCAGATCCTTAGCTGAGCCCCAGAGACACAGGAGTTCCAGCTACCTGCTGGTGATCAAGAAGGAAGGACTGGGCCTCAGGCCCTGGGCTGAATCCTGGGTCCCCTACTTACCAACTGTGGAACCAGGGCAAGGCCCCTCACCTCCCTGAACCTCAGCATTTTTTTTTTTTTTTTTTTTTTGAGACGGAGTCTCGCTCTTGCCCAGGCTGGAGTGCAATGGCGTGATCTCGGCTTACTGCAACCTCCGCCTCCCGGGTTCAAGCGATTCTTGTGCCTCAGCCTCCTGAGTAGCTGGGATTATAGGTGCATTCCACCACACCCAGCTAATTTTTGTATTTTTAGTAGAGAGGGGGTTTCGCCATGTTGGCCAGGCTGGTTTTGAACCTCTGACGTCAGGTGATCCACCCACCTCGGCCTCCCAAAGTGCTGGGATTACAGGCATGAGCCACCATGCCTGGCCACCTCAGCTTCTTAAAATGTAAAATGGGGATAGTGAAGGTATCAACCCCATGGCTCATGGGGTCACTGTAAACATGAAATAAGAAAACATGTCAGGCATGGGTCACCTGCCTGGGACATAGCAAGCACTAAATAATTCATCACTGCTGTCATTACAGTTATTGTCACTGCTCCTCCCAGTGACCCAAGAAGGGGGATGTGCTGATGCCCGAATAAGAAACAAGAAAGACAAAGGCCTCAACCTAGCATCCAGGACCTGAACTGACCACCACGTGATCGCAGGATCCCCTTTCCCTGCCCAAATAGCCCCCTTAGCCTGAGACAGGGCTGCATGAGACTACCTGGATCTGAACCCTTTCCTGGCCTCTCCGAACTGTGTGACCTTGGACAAGTCATCTCACTTCTCTGAGCCCCAGGTTCCTCCCTTTAGGAAAAAAAAAAAGGGTGGAGGGGGGGTGGTCCTGGGCAGGCACAATGGCTCGCGCTTGTCATCTGAGCACCTTGGGAGGCCAAGGCAGGAGGATCACTTGAGCCCAGGAGTTTGAGACTAGCCTGGGCAACATAGTAAGACCCTGTCTCCACAAAAAAGTTTTTTAAAAACTTAGCTGGGCATAGTGAGACGCACCTGTAGCCCCAGCTACTCTGGAGGCTGAGATGGGAGGATCGCTTGAGCCTAGGAGGTTGAGGCTGCAATGAGCCACGATTGCACCACTGCACTCCAGCCTGGGCAACAGGGTGAGACCCTGTCTCAAAAAATAAAATAATAAAACAAATGAAAAATAAAAAACAAGGGTCCCCTATCTGTACCATTGTCCCGAGGGCTGAACGAGGTGATACGTGAAAGTTGTCCAGTCCAGTGATGGCACACAGCAGGTGCTCAACAAGTGACAGCAGTTACGATCGGTGATTGGATATGAAGACCTGGACACGGGGACGAATGACTGCATACAAGCACTCACAACGGAGTGCCGGGGTGTGGTGCCTGTCAGCTCAATCACACCCCAGAGGGCTGCACATCTCGGGATTCACCCCCAGGTGACCCTCCCTGGCGCTCCCCCATCAGGGAAAGGGCAGAGAGCAAAGGGACCCCCAGACAGTGCCTCCCATCCATGCCACCCCCCACTCCCACCGCCCCTGCAGCAAGCACACAGCCACGCGTGTGCCGCCCCAGCCCCGTGACCCACTAGCAGCCCCTCCCGTCCCCCGCTCTGCATCTGCTCAATTAGGGAAACTGGGGAGCGAGGGAAACAAAGACTTAATTTCTGAGCTAATCAGCCTGCCTCATACTAATTACCATCCTCCCGGGCATTAGGGCAGACTTCCTGGGGGAGGCTGAGGGGGAAGCTGGTCCCTGGGAATGACACCCCTTTCCCCTAAAGCCTGAGAGCCCAGCAATGGGAGGGTGGTGGTGCAGGGGGACAGGGAGGCTTGGGCAGGTGGAATTTCAGGGTGGGATGAAGGAGACGTGGTCAGAAGCAGGAGACAGAGTCCACTGGGCAAAGCAGGCAATGCACCCGTGGTCACCTGGACAGCCCCACCTTCCCAAGGTTCCCGCCCCATCCTCCAGGCAGCCACAGGCTTGGGAGAGGCCCAGAACAGGTGCCCCAGTAGGCATGCAGCCCATGGCCTTGGCCAAGAGGACAGATGGACAATTTGAAGCTGGATAATTGAGCAATGATCAGAGGGAAGTTTCTGGATCATGGCCTACTGGGTGTGTGCATTTGTGTGTGCTTGTG
Organism: Homo sapiens; assembly: GCF_000001405.40. Classification (NCBI taxonomy): domain Eukaryota; kingdom Metazoa; phylum Chordata; class Mammalia; order Primates; family Hominidae; genus Homo; species Homo sapiens. The sequence continues at coordinate 37,407,128 of NC_000022.11, forward strand.
TGTGTGCGTGTGTGTGTGTGTCGTATGTGTACATGAGCACACCAGAACAAGAGGGCTCGGGACTGGGAGCCAGGAAGCCTGCGTTCAATTACCTGCTCAGGCTCTGGGAAAGTCCTTGCCCCTCTGAAATTCAGGCTATACCACAAGCGAGCTGGAGGGCACGATTTTTGGAAATCATTTCAGACGTGACCACAGGGCCACTTATTCTTCAACAAATGCTTGTTGAACACCTACTATCATGCAGCCGGCTCTGTGCTGGCACCACAGGCACATTCGTGAACAAGACAGACAAGGTCCCCAGCCTCACAGTGCTTTCACTGTGATGGGGGAGCCAGGGAGTCAACACGAAAATCAAGAAACAAGTGCCTTGGCTTTGGCAGATAGAGGAACGTGCTCTGTAGAGAGTCCACCCATAGGATGTGGACAAGCGATGGGGCCACCACAGGTAGGGCTTATGGCAGCATTTTTTAGAAAACGCCCCACCCGGCGGCCAGGCGCAGTGGCTCATGCCTGTAATCCCAATACTTTGGGAGGCTGAGGTGGGCGGATCACGAGGTCAGGAGATTGAGACCATCCTGGCTAACATGGTGAAACCCCATCTCTACTAAAAAAAAAAAATTAGCTGGGCATGGTGGCAAGCGCCTGTAGTCCCAGCTACTCGGGAGGCTGAGGCAGGAAAATGGCATGAATCCGGGAGGCGGAGCTTGCAGTAAGCCGAGATCGCGCCACTACACTCCAGCCTGGGGGACAGAGCAAGACTCCGTCTCAAAAAAAAAAAGAAAGCGAGAAAAGGCCCCACCCAGCAATTAAACTGCAGATAATCCCAACTCATGGAGGACCTCAGAGCAACCCCTCTCCCTTCTCTGGACCTCTGTTTCATGCACACAGCGCGGGAGCTGGATGAGATGCTGTCCAAGGCTGATTCAGTCCCACAAGCAGGAGTTCTCACGAGTTTCTCCAGGCCGGGTGTGTGCATGAGAATGTCTGCATGATCCCCCCAGGGGCTGCGGTCTAGCCCACACATTTATACATACACAGACAGATGACCACCATGTCCCCAGTCCTGGGCCCGGCTGCACAATGGATGTACCAGATAGACAGGTATGTGCCTGATGATGAGAGGGGTGGGGCATCACATACCCCAGGGCCCATCAGCTCCCAATCACGGGATCTGCGGCCCGCACTCCAGGGGATACACTCAGCTCTGCTGGCACAGGCGTCCCTTGAACTGCCTCCCTCCCACCTGGTCATGGGGCCTTGGCAGCGGCCCACCATGTGCTGAGCGCCTGAGCCTCACTGCACGGAATTCTCACAACAGCCCTGCCAAGGAAGTGCTGTTAACCCTGTTTTACAGATGGGGAAATTGAGGCTCCGCTAGGTGAAGTCACTTGCTCAGTAAATAATCAGCTAGGCACTCAAATCGGGCCTGATCCCAAACTGCCACCCCTACCATATGCCAGGACCTTCTTCCTGGACCACTCTCAAGGCTCAAACCAGGGCACCCGCCTGAACCAGCTCTGCCCAATAACTGGCCTTCCAGGGATTGCCAAGGGCGCCCAACACAGCAAGGCAGTCAGGTTCAGATGGCCAGTTTCAAATCCTGATTTCATCACCGAGTCGCTGTGTGGCTGTGGGTAGGATCTTTAACCTCTCTGTTCCTCAGTTTCCCCACCTGTCAAGTAGGGATGGTGACAGTATCTATTTTGCTGGGTTGTTGTGAGGATTTTGCTAAGTTCTATAAAGTTCTTAGAGCAGTGCCTGGCACATGGTGTGTTGATATAAGGAAGATATGATTCCCTTTGACTCTGTGAATGGCCTGACACTTGGGTTCCACAGAAGGCAAGAGACAGAGCTGCAATTCGAACGCTGGACTCAGGACTCCCTGTCCAGGGCTCTCTCCCTACAGCATCAAGGAATCTCCAGCTTGGCCAAGGGAACAAAAAAGTCCCAGGACTGGCCCAGGCTCAGCCCCAAGGCGGAAAGACAGCCTGTGAGGAAGACTAAAGGGATGAGAGCCACAGGCCAGGGACCAGGCCCCAGACCCTGCTCCATCACCTGCACCTCCCTCCTCTGTGCCTGGCACTCGCCTACCCGGCCCCACCCCCAGCTCCGGAAGGCCCGGGCACTCCTGTGGGCACTCAAGGACCCTGGGAAGCTCCTGGGCCCCGAAGCAGCTCCCTGTGGCCCCAAGGAGCCCAGTGCCCAGTGATCCTGGGATGCAGCAGGTGGAGAACAGCAGGGAACAGCGTGGTCTCCCGGCACCACCTTCCAAGTCCCTGGGTACTCTGTCCCCAGAGACAGCCAGGGGTCCTGGCCCTGGACCCCCACACCCTACCTTTCCCCAAGTCCCAGGGAGCCCGCAGGCAGGAATCCCAGCCAGAATGGGCTCCTGCCTAAAGTGCTCAGCCAACAGCGAGAGGAGCCCAGATGTCCACACTTAGCCTTGGAAGCAGATCCCCTCAAACCAGCCCACCCGTGCCCCAGGGCAGCGTGCCGGGTCAGAGGAGCTTGATTCTGCAGTCAGACACTTCAGATCTGAAGTGGGTGAAAGTAGAAAAAGTGCAAACAGCCCAGGCACTCACAACAGGGAAATGTCCTTTCAAGAAAAGCCCATTCCAAAGTGGATTAGGACCCAGGTCCCGCCGCACCCCTGAGAAGGGTGCTCAGGGTGCAATCAGGGGCCGCAGGAGGGTGCAGGGCCAGCTGCGAGGAGAATCCCTCCTGGGTAAGAACAGATGGTGTACGTGTGTTTGTAGGTACCAGGAAACACGGGTCAGTGACAGCCTCTGGGGAGGAGGCCTTGGGAACAGGCAGTGGCCCATTCCTTTCTGCTGTGCACGCCGAGAGCATGTGCCAGTTCCCCAGGTATAAGGGGGTTTGTATACTTATGCATTGTTTTACACATACATGCTCCAAAACCCAGCAAATGCACAAAGATCACGAGGGCACACACATACACACACACCTGCCCTTGTGTGCCCAGCTTCCATCCAGCCAGCTCTCTCCTGCGGCCTGAGAGACAGGCGGTTGCGGCAAACAGACGGGGCAGGGCCAGAGAGATGGGTGGGCAGACAGAGACAAAGAGACAGGGAGAGAGAGAGAAACAGAACGAATGAGCTCAGCTCAGGCCCTAGGGTGATCCTGCTCAGAGCAGCCACTTTAGGCTGGTCCAGGGGCTGCGGGAAGTGAAAGTGCCCAAGAGGAAAGCCGGCAAGTCTCCACCCTCAGCCTGGCCACTCACTGCGGTGTGGCCCCGAGCCAGCGCCTCACCTCTCTGGGCTGCAGCCTGCCCACGAGTGCGGGCAGTGGGTGGGAGACCTGCTGGCTCCGACCCTCCAGCACTCCGGGGTCCTGGTTCCCTGTTGAGCCCCCGCTTCCCCTCTCCCCAGATGGTGCTGAGGGCAGCGTCCAGGTCAGCTGCCATCTCAGCCCAGCCAGGAACTCACTCCCAAAGCCCCTCCCTCCCCTGCCATCAGCCCCAGCATCAAATTGGAGAGGGACGAGCCGGGCACTGACCGGAAACCGCAGGCGTGGATACTGCTGTCTTCCTGCCTCATCTCACCTAATCCCCATCACAGCCCTGATCCCATTCTACCACACGAAGCAACCGAGGAGCGGAGGATGATCGGGCCGGAGCCCCACGGCCAGCGGGGGATGAATATGAATGAGCTGGGATGGAACCCACGCGTCTACTCCAAAGCCCATCGGCTCCTTCCACGACATCCTGTTCGGCAGGCAGTAGGAGGGGCCACAGGGGCAGACACCCCCACATTTCCTGACCTAGCACCCAGAACCGGGACTCCACAGGCCCCAGCCTGTCTCCAGCAGCCTCAGAGGTGACTCTAGAAGGGCCCCTGAAGCCTGCCTCCCTGCTCCGACCACCAGGAAAGCCAGCAAGAAGCCCAGTGCTAGCATTCCTGACTGCACGCCAGGCGTAGCACCAAGTGCTTCATAGTGTCACCCTTGGGTGGTGGGCACTACTTTTATTCCTACTTGACAGGTGAGGACACTGAGGCACACACAGGCGGGGCAACTTGTCATGGGTAGAATTGGGAACTGACAGCTGGGCCCATGGGCCTGATCACTGCATCGCCCCATCCTGTAGCCTGGGAGTTTTTCCACTCTGACCTGCGACCACCAAGCCAAGGAGTGTCTAGCGGGGCAGCAAAGGCCTCACCCCAGAAGCGCTGCTTAGATCAAGGGCCCTTGAGCCACCACCATTGGGGCACCTCAGTGCCAACCCCTCTCTGTAGCCGGTCTCTTCCCAGGATGATGCTTGGGGGTCCCTGGAGAGCCCCCACCTCCATCCTTGAGTCCCAGCCCTGGGTGAGGAGGGGAAGCGGAGAAGGTCTGTGTGCCCCCACAGACCTCAGACAATGTCCTCTGGGACAGGGGCTGTCCTTTGCCTGAGGTCCAGAGGGAGTGTAGGACAAGCAAGACTCACACAGCAAGCGGAGGCAGGAAGGGCAACATAGCCCTTCATCTCTGCCTCCCAGCTTGGCACAGAGGGCACCCTACCTCCTATGCTGGGTGGGTTGAGCTGTGACCCAGTGTGGAGACAGGGATGGGGCTATGGGTTCTCAGTAGCTTCTAGCTTCTCACGCAGCCCCTGGCAACCCTGTGGGCCTACTGTGTGCAGATACTCCTATCTCCAATCCTATTTCACTCCATCCCCTCCAGGAGCCTGGCAGTATCCCCATTTCACAGATAAGAAAACTGAGACCAGGACATGTGACCACTCAGGCGTGGGATCTAACTCACAAGGTCTCACTTCCCACCACCAAACAGGCCTTCCTGCAGCCCCTGCCCCAATCCAACCACTCCCAGCCCTCAGGGACTGCCTCTTCCAAAAAAAAAGTCTTCCCAGAGCTCTTGGAACCTCCGCTCAGAGGACCATCTCTCCTCCGACATTCAGAAAGCAGACTGAGGTTGGGCGCCTCAGTCTGTACACTCAGGCCTGTAATCCCAGCATTTTGGGAGGCCGAGGCAGGTGTATCACTTGAGGTCAGGAGTTCGAGACCAGCCTGGTCAACATGGCGAAACCTGGTCTCTACTAAAAATAAAAATACAAAAATTTTCTGGGCATTGTGGCAGTCGCCTGTAATCTCAGCTTTCTCTCCAGCCTGGGCAAACAAGCAAAACTCCGTCTCAAAAAAAAAAAAAAAAAAGAAAGAAAGAAAAGGAAAAAAGAAAGAAAGCAAACTGAGGCCAGCACACCCACAGTGCCTCCACCCTCAGACTGGGGCTCCTGGGAATTGAGGCTCTATCTCCCTCAGACAGGGCACTCACTCCCCTTCCCAAAGACTAAGAGGTCCCAGGACTCCCTCCTCCAGCACCTCCATCCACACAGCCCCCTACCTGATTGCAGGACTCTGCCCCAAGGGGCCAAGCAGGACCCCAGGCCACGCCTCAGCCCCTCCTCTCCCTTCTTCCTGGCACTCCTCCAGGCCTGGCCAGTACCAGGCAGGCTACCCTCCCACCACCGGGCCCTGTCCATGAATCCCACCTCTGTTGGGCACCACAGACCCCCCTTTCTCCTCCCCAAACAAATGGGGTCTTGAGCAAGGCACCGGGACAACCACGCACAAGGCCAGATCTATTCCCTGGACTGGCGCGGCTGCCAGCGGGGTGGGTGGTCAGGCTTGCGGAGCTGTCTGTCCCTTCCACAGCCCCTCCAGGTCCAGCCTCTGGCATTGGGAGCCCGGCACTCTAAGCTCATCCTGGCAGGGCTGGGACCAGCAGCCTTCCTCCCCGGGTGACCCAGGAGTGGGCCTGGGCCAGGCACCCCTAACCACGCTCCCCACTTCCTCCCCTCTCCCTTCCCTTGACACAGTGTGGGCGGGGACCTCTGAGCATAGGTCCAAATCCCTGCTCTGCACCCTGGAAGAGAATCTCTCCAGGCCTCTGTTTGGTCGTTTGCAACCGGGTGTGACACTCCCTATGCTGCAGGGGCTGCTGTGGCCACAGACGGGGTGAGGTACAGGAAGAAAATCCCGGCACAGAAGAGGTGCTCAGTCCAAACTGGTTTTTCTCTCTCCTTCATTCCCTCTTCTGCCCTAGGGGGATAAGAGGTGGGGCTGGCAGAAATGGGGGTGAGAGGGCACAGGCTGGCAGAGTAGAAAATGACCTGTCCCAGGCACTTAAAATGTTGCCTATTCCAAAATCAAAGTCTCAAATCCCTCTACAGCTGGCAGTGAAGTCTCCTAAGACTAGGCTGGTTAAGGCTCCCAAGACCCCACAGCCAGCCTGGGCAACACGGTGAGATCCCGTCTCTACAAAAAAAAAAAAGCTTGGCATGGTGGTATGTGCCTGTAGTCCCAGCTACTCAGGAGGCTGAGATGAGTGGATCACTTGAGTCCAGGTGGTCAAGGCTGCAAGGCTGCAGTGAGCCATGACTGCACCACTGCACTCCAGTCTGAGTGACAGAGCAACAGCCTGTCTAAAAAAAAAAAAAAAAGATCCCACAGCCCATTAATGGCAACACTGGGGAGGAGGCCTCAGAGCTAAGCCTGCAAATCTAAGCTCAAAGCCCACTGCCTCCTAGAAGCCAGCCCAGATATTATCCCCATTTTACAGACAAGTAAACTGAGGTACACAGTAGTTAGGTAATATGCCTGAGGTCACACAGCTAGCGAGCATCTGGATTGATTTCTTTTGACAATTCAGGCTGCTACCAAAAGCTGTTCGTTATGGCACAAGCCCCCCCTAAGAATCTGTGATTTTGACTCGGCATCCAGAGTCAGGTCCAAGTTCTTCAGCCTGAAACGCAAGGCCTCCCAGCAAGGTGGTATACAGCAGCAGAAGACAGCACTGGACCTCGAGTCAAATGCCCGGCGTGCCACTCACAGCCTGCTGTGTACCCACGGCACCTTACCCGGCCTCCCTGGCCTCACTGTCCTCTTGTATAAAATGGGAATAACGAGACTGACCTCCCAGGGTGGCTGGTGGGGTTACCTATCCATGCAGTCACACAAATTTATTGAACCTCTACTATGTGCCAGGCCCCATTCAAGGTACTTGAGATAGAGCAGAGAACAAGACAAAAAAAAAGCTGTCTTCAGGGAGTTGATACTCTACAGTGGTGGGAGGGCAGAGAGTAAGCAAGCAAATAAAACAGCATCAAGTTGTGTTAAGGGCTTTAAGAAACCAGAGGGAGGAGGCCAAGGGCAAAGGATAGGGTGCTCGGGAGGACTTCCCTGAGGAGGTGACAGTTAACCAGAACAGGAGACAGACATGCACTGAGCCAGGAGAGCAGCAGTGAGCACAGAAGGAACAGCAAGGTCAAAGGCCAGTGAATCAAATGAGAGCTGGAGCCTATGGGAAAATGCCTGGCACATAGCAGATGCTCAATAAACAGCAGCTGTGAGCATTATTACTCTAAGCCCCCCAAACCCCTTGCTCCTTGCCTTCCTCTTCTGGAAACCAGGTTGCGATGCAGCTTGAAGTGCATCCTAGGTCTCTTCCACATTCCTTCATTCATTTAAAGTAACCCTGCTTCCATTAATAGTCCTCCCATTTTGCAGGTGAGAAAACTGAGGTTCCCAAGATCCCATAGCCCATAAATGACAGCATCGGGACATGAACCTAAGTCTAGTGGTCTCAAACCCCACACTCCTGGCAGCCTTGGGCGGTCTCACTTACAAAGGGCACTCACTACATTCCCCCTTCCCATCCCAAGACAGCTCAGCCTGTCAGAACGTCTCTAGGATGAACCAAGGTCTGAGCCTGCCCTTTGAGGCCACCCAGGACAGCCCTCTCTCTTCCTTCCCAGGTCACCCTGAAATGTTAGCAGCTGCCACCTGGAGCACCTCCCAGTGCCAAGCCCTGTGCCTTACTTTGTCCCTTGGCCTTGCTCTGGCAAGGTGAAGTAGGGATTCTTATCATCCCCATTGTACAGGTGAAGAAACTGAGGCCCAGAAAGGTGGAGAAACATGCCCAACGGCAGCTTCCAGGAAAGTGGCAGTGTTGGGATCTCAGCTCAGGCCCTCATCACCTGAAAGACAGTTACCCGTCACTTCCCAGGCCTCTCAAATGGCCCTCTTTGGCCATCACTCTCAGTCCTCCCTTGCCTGTCCTGTCCCCCTGGTGATGCCAAAATGGTAGACAGGACAGTCTTCCCCTGACTCGGTTATTCTCAGGGCACCACCAGCCACATGCCTGGCATGCGGTGCCCTAGGCCAGGGCTGGCTGAGCAGCTCAGAGCACCCAAGTCCCATGAAGGAGACCAGTGGCCAGGGGCTCAGGCAACGGCTGTGGGGACAGGGCTCGCCTGATGAAAGTGCACACACAGGCCCTGGGGCAGGCAGGAGAGGAGCACCAGAGAGGGAGCCTGCCACACCTGCTCCATCCTGGCTCAGCCACCAGGGTACTATGTGCCTGTCAGAAGGCTCTCTGCCTCTCCGGCCCCGTTCCTGTTACCACCAACTCAGGACCGTACTCCCACCACTAAGGGTCATGGGGAAAGGTACGATGCCACAGAACTCTAGTGAGATCTGGCTTCCCTACGCGTGTCAGGAAATCATTTTAAAACGATTTTTAAAAGTAATGATGGTGGGCCAGGCGCGGTGGCTCACGCCTGTAATCCCAGCACTTTGGGAGGCTGAGGCGGGTGGATCACAAGGTCAGGAGATCAAAACCATCCTGGCTAACACCGTGAAACTCCATCTCTACTAAAAATACAAAAAATTAGCCAGGCGTGGTGGCACGCGCCTATAGTCCCAGCTACTCAAGGAGGCTGAAGCAGGAGAATCGCTTGAACCCGGGAGACGGAGGTTGCAGTGAGCAGAGATAGTGCCACTGCACTCCAGCCTGGGTGACAGAGCGAGACTCCGTCTCAAAAAAAAATAATAATAATGATGATGGTGGTGGTGGTTCCCAGTCACTGAGAGTCTATTACATACCAGGAGCCATCACATCCATGAGCCCAAATAACAGCCACCCTGGGAGGCATGTGCCTCATCTCCATTTTACAGAGGGGGAAACTGAGGCCAGAGGTCCTCCACCGTAAAAACCAGAGCCAGGTTGCAAACCCAGAACTCGCTGCTCTCCTGTGCAGCTTCCTGTTTTTAGTAATTGAATGAAATGCTGCTTCAGGAGAACCCCTGGGGACTGGGGGGAGAGAGAGGACTCAACGGTGTCAGAGAGACAGGCTCCCCCAGGGAAGGAGTTAGGCCTGCTGAGTCCGGCACTCAGGGAGGGAGATGCTCCCCAGAACGTGCCTGCTGGGTGACCTTGGGCAAGTCACTTCCCGTCTGATTCCTCAAAGGCAGGTACCAATGCTGGTCCCCCAGAGAACGGCACTGGGTCAACAGGTCCTCAGCAAACATGACGGATGGGGACAAAGTCACTTGGGGGCAAGAAAGGAGCATGTGCCCAGATGAGAGACTTATGAGATCAGAGGCCCTGGGGAGCGAGAGGGCTCAAGGAGGCAGAGGTGGGAAGATCATGACCACAGAAGTGGGAGGGAAGGGCTGGGTGGAGGCACTGGGAGGAAGCAAGCGCTGGTGCAGCAGGGTCTCCGGTCTGTCCACAGGGGCAGGCAGGATAAGTGCAGACCCGCCCACTGTGCCTCACTCCCCAGCCCTCCACCACCAAGAACCCCCACTTCAGCCTGTGACAGCAACACCAAGTCCCCTGCAGCAGCCCTTCCCCCACCACACCTCCTCCGTCCTCCGGGGCGCACCCACCACCCTGCACAAGCCCCCTTCAGGGCACCCATCACTACCCCTTTCCTGGGGACCTCCAACACCTGGACAGCCACAGCCCCTCCACGTGGGGACCACCGCACCTTGGAGATAGCATCTCCCTATCCTTAGCAACCACCAACACTGTGCGCAGCCAGCCAGCCTCCTTTCTCTGTCTCCTCCTCTCTCCACGGAGACCACAATGCCACAGAGGCGGCTCCCTCACCACGGCAACCACCGTCACTCAGCGCCGCCTGGACAACAGCTCCCTCCACGTGGCCGCCACCAACACAGCCTCGGTGACAGCCCCAGCCTCTCCTCTCCTCTCCTCTCCAGGGCAGCCACCAGCCCCAGCCAGGACGGAGCAGCTCCTTCTGCCTGCCTGTCTGCCTGTTTGCGGCCTCCTAGTGCCAGACGGCTCTCCCTGTGCCTCCAAAATTCAATGACATAGGATCAGGCCCCATATCAATTCTGCTGGCGTTTTCCCCTGCTCCCGGCTCACTTCCAGCCTCTCTCTCTACAATGGACAGACCCCCACCTGAGCGAGACCCCCACCATGTTGTCCCAGGCCTTCCCCTGGAAGCTGGCTCTCCACCCCCAGCAGGTGCACAGATGCCCCCTGACCTGCTGGAGTGCAGACTAAGCCTGCCTCAGCCTCTCTGCCGGGTGATGGGGCAGGAGCTGGGGTCCTTGAGCCAACAGGGGCTTCCTGCCCACCCTCCCCAGTGGGCTTGTCTTAGCCCCCAACAGGCCTGCCGCTCTGCAGGCCGCCTCATAGGCCCTGTGGAAGGAAAGCTGGGTGGGAGGGGTGCCCACGGCTGGGGGCAGGGGCCAGGCCCACAAGAAGGAACACACAGAAGCCTGAGGCTGGGCCACATCACAGGTTTGCAAGGCCGGGTCATGTGAGCTATGCTCACAGACAGCGACACACACACAGGCAAAAGGACCCTGTCCTTACCAGATGTCTGCAGCAGAGGAGGCCCCTCCGGCACTGTCCCCAACCTGGGTCTCAGAAAGGTTCCCCAGGCAGCAGCGGCAGCAGTAGCAATGAGATCTCAGGTCCTGGCCCAGCCCGGGTGGCAGCAGCTCCTCACCCAAGTCCTCTCCTTCTGCAGGGAGGCGAGGGGGAGAGAGGGGAGGGAGGGAGAGAAGGGGAGGAGAGGGAGGGGGGACAGCAGGAGGGAGGGAGGAGGGAAAAATGCTGAAGTCTTGAAGGGTACACTCACTTCTTTCTTGGGTTTCCCATGGCAACCGAATATACCACAAATGAATATCAGGGTGAGACAGAGAGGAGGTAAAGGGAGAGGAGGAATGGAGGGAGATGGAAGAGAGATGGAGAAAGACAGAGATAGAGAGATGGGGGAGACAGGGCAGGGAGAGATGGAGAGATGCAGAGAGAGATGGAGGCAGAGATGTGAAGGCACTGAGATGGAGAGATGGGGCAGGGAGAGGAGAAGAGATGGAGGTAGAGACAGAAGGATGATGAGGCAGGAGAGATGGAGGGCTGAGGCTTCCAATCGTAACCCATGGGGCTCAGGGGCCAGGGAAGAGGCCAGGGGCCACAGGGCTTCTTTCAAGCCCCTGGGCAGGAGGAGCAGGCACAGATGAGTGAGCTTTCTGGGAACCAAGGGGCCCCCACTCCCACCCCTTCACCTTGTCCCACACTCCCTACTGGGCTCCACAGCCTGGAGGTGTCTCCCCAGTCACACCCCAGTCACAGCCATGGTCACACATGTCACACCCACGTGTGTGTGCACACACACTCTCACACTCCCCTGACCCCCAGTGCCCCCACACAGCCCTCACCCCCTCCATGGCCAACTACCCTCCTCTCCTGTTGGTCACTCGGATCACCAACGCCGCCCAACCCCATCGTCAGCCGGGCCCCAGGGAACAAAGACACCCTCGCCCTCGGCACACCCTCTCCTCTTCAGAACTCTGCCAGGACTGGCACACGCCTTCCCCTATGTGCTCAGCCTGTTCCCAGCCAGGTGTAATGCCTCTACCCCACCTTCCCGCCACATGGGCTCACACACAGCCTAAGAGCACAGTACCTGGCTGACCTCCACCTGCACAGACAGGCGCTCCCAGACAGACGGGCCTCGGCGGAACCTCGTCTCCATCTGCGCAAACACGTGCGCACACACACTCAGCTCCTCCCGAGGAGGCCCCTCTCCCTGTCCCGCCCCACACCCCACCAGCCCAGATGGTACTCTTGGCCCTCCCCCGCAGGCAGGGGCTCACACCTCGGCCCCCTCGGCATTGCCATTCACAAACATATGTAGACCCACCAAGTGCTGGCAGCCAGCGGCGCCCAACGGAAAATAAACACACACTCGGGCCTCCCTTCCCCTCTCCCCGCCACACTGCCTCAACTCCCTCACCCCCTCCCAAAGGCAGAGAACTAGCAGGGCCGGCTTCCTCCAGGAAAGGCTCCCAGGCCTAGCTGGGAGCACACAATTGACCCTCAGCCCCTCAGCCAGCAGGGATGGGAAAGCACCCCAGAGGCACACACTATACCCTAACACACACACACACACATAGACCTGTCCTCCCAGAGCACACCCAGACAGAATCCACACAGGAGAACTTCCCACCGCCGCAGAGAAACGCACATCACAGACCCAGAGACTCGTGGGCCTAGAGACCAAGGTGCACTGCACACAGCTGAACCAGAACACAGGGGCGCCCCACACAGACACCCTCCCCAACACGCAGGCCCACGCTGGTGCCAAAATGCATGCGGCCACTGCACAGACGCACAAACCAGGGGCACCGTGGACTGCCCCGCCCCACGCTCACCAAACACACCCAGAAAAACGTGCCCAGGGACACGGGGCCCCCAACATAGACACACGCCAAAACATACATGCCCCAAGCATGCCCACACACAGGGAACCACTCCCGGACACACGTGCCAATGCACATGAGCCAACACACCCCCAGCACAGCCACGCCTGCACGCCACAGCGCTCCCAGGGCAGTTCACGCGGCGCGTCCCCATGCCGTCCACACCCACCCGGCACACACACCCCCTCGCCAGCAACTCGCCGGGTCCTGGCTCCGGTCGCCCCCTGTGCCCCTGCCCAGCGCGGCCCGCCCCGCCGCCAGCCCCCGCCCCTGCCGGTCGCTTTCCGATCCCGGGCACCGCGCAGAGCCCAGAGGCTGCGAAATTGGCTGCGAGCGTCAGGGGCTGCGGCTGCAAATTCTAAACACAGGCAAGTAAGGAGGAAAGCCGGGCCAGCCGGGCGCAAGTTCCGGAGGCTGGCGGGGTGGGCCGCGGGGGACGGGGGCCTCGAAGAGCCGCGGACGGCGGAGGACGGTGCGGAGGTGGGGAGCGCGGCGAGGTCGGGGGGGAGCAGGGTGGCGGTGCGGCCCCGGCGGGGCTCCGAGCGCGCGCTCCCGTCCCCACCACGCCAGGTCCGCGGCAGTTCCCGCCCGCCCCCTCCTCCGGCCCAGCAGCCATCGCGCACCCGCCCCGTGCGCCCCCAGGACGGACAATCCCAGCCGGCCTCCAGACCCAGGTCTGCCTCCGCCAAGTGGATGGACCATATCGAGCCACCGCTACGCGGCTGTGCGTCGGTCGCCTCCTCCAGGACGTCTTCTCTGCTCTCCGCCCTCTTCGCCGCTTCTCTGCCCTCACCTCCACCTCCGCCTCTGGCCTCTGCTCACATGCACAGCCGCAAACTCAGCTCCACCAGCGCCCTCGCTCCACAGGAAGGGAGAGGGAGGGCATTCGCCCTGTGCAAGGTGCTGGGGCAGGCCCGCTCCAATTCCACTTCATCCCGACCACACTTTAGGCTGCTAACGTGCCTAGCTTTAGCAGCTGTGCAGCCTCGAACCCGTGACCGCACACGCTGCCTCCGATTCCTCATCTGTGCAACAGGAATGATGCAGAGGGGGCGTTCTGAGGATTTAATGAGGGACTCCTTAAACAGGCTTACAGCAGCAGTCAACGAAACGGAAGATGATTAGCCAGTATTATTAGTCAGTTTTGGCCCCTGACTTGCTGCTGTGGCGCGGAAGGTTAGGCACTTCTCTGAGCTCAAGCTCCTCCTCTGGAAAATGAGGATGGCTTTGCTGGCTCCGGAGGGTTCTGGGAGGAGTCTCAGAGACCCCGGGGAACATGCAGCTGCCATCCAACCAGCAAATGTGAGTGAATTAATCTTCGGGAAAGCATTAAAATTGCAAGTTCCTGCAATTTTCCCCTCGTCCACTCTCCCAATCAAAATCTCAGTGGACAGGGCCCAAGAATCTGCATTTTAACGAACACCCAGAGATTCTAATGCTCCCTGACAAAAAGGATATTACTCAATTTCTTGGCGCAGCATGGATGGTCCCGTGTGGTTGTTCCTCAAACTACATGTCCAGACTCATCTTCTCAAAATCCACTCTGGGCTTCCCCACCTCCGGGCCCCTGCTCACACGGTCACTCCATATGGCATGCCCCCACCCAGGGGTAGGCAGGACCTCTTTCACAATCCTCCAGCCAAAGTTAAACAAGATAACAGAGAGCGCCTTGCCCGATGCCTGGCACATAGCAGGTGCATAATCGAGAGAATTCTGCAAAGCCCAGAGCAGAAGTTGGCACAAACTCTCCAGCCCTGCCTGGGAGGCTCGCTCCACACCTGGCCTCCAGCCTGCAGCAGCAACCCCCTCTCGGTCAGGTCACAAAGGGACAAGAATCACCTGTCAAGCAAGCCCTACTGTGTGCAGACCCCATGCTGGGCACTTGTCAGAGGTTCCCGTGTCTCACCTCTCCTCCAGGGCCCTGAGCTCTGCCAGGCAGGGGCTCCTCTCTGGGGGTTCCTGCCTGAGCCCCGGGGCCCAGCATTTCTCCCTGGGTGAAACATGCTAATAAGGGTGTGTGTGCACGCGCCATCTGAATGCAAAATGCAGCGATCCGTCCTCGGTAGCATGTAGATGAAAGGAATTTGTTTAATAAGTATTTTTTGAGGGCCTACCAGTCTCCGCCTGCACAGAGCTGACATGAAGTGGGAGAAATAAGACAGGCAATAGGCAGATGTAGGAAATCCACTGGGGAATGAGAAGGGCCAGGAAGGGAGTGAGGCAGGTCGGCTGACCCCACAGCCTCTGTCTCTCCAAGATTCAGGGGCAATTGTAGGGGGAGAAGGATAATAGATGGGCCAAGGAGGGAAACTGAGTCAGGCCTGAGTCTTGGGACTAGGCCCACGGCAGGCTGGTCAGGCAGCCTTGGGATTCATTCCCTACTTCCCCCTGAGAGAGGTGGTGACCAGTGTACACAAACAGTCACAAGAGCTGGCAGCACCCAGGCTCTTTTCATGCATCCTTAGGCGCCCCCAACCCCAGCAGTACCCATGCACTTCAGGCGGTGAAAAGCAGAGGGTGAAAAGGATGGGAAAGAAACAGACACATGCATGCACAGTGCAGACCCCTTCCAGGAAGCCAGGAATGAACGGAGGGGGCAGATGGGAAGGGGGAGGAAAATAATGGCATCTCGCATGCCAGACAGGATGTTATACACGTGGTCTTCTCTTACCTAACCTTTAGCATGACCTTTAAGACAACCCAGAAGGGTTAAGAATTCGTTTTTTTTGTTTTTTGGTTGTTTTATTGTTGCTGTTGTTGTTCTGGCCAGGCACAGTGGCTCACGCCTGCAATCCCAGCACTTTGGGAGGCTAAGGAGGGAGGATCACGAGGTCAGGAGTTCGAGACCAGCCTAACCAACATAGTGAAACCTCGTCTCTACTAAAAATACAAAAATTAGCCGGGTGTGGTGGTGTGTGCCTGTAATCCCAGCTACTGGGGAAGTTTTTTTTGAGACGGAGCCTCACTCTGTCACCCAGGCTGGAGTGCAGTAGCACAATCTCGGCTCACTGCAACCTGGGCCTCCTGGGTTCAAGCGATTCTCCTGCCTCAACCTCCTGAGTAGCTGGGATTACAGGCATGCACCACGATGCCCGAATAATTTTTTGTATTTTTAGTAGAGACAGGGTTTCACCATGTTGGCCAGGCTGGTCTCGAACTCCTGACCTCAGGTGATCCTTCTGCCTCGGCCTCCCAAAGTGCTAGGATTACAGGTGTGAGCCACCACGCCCAACCAAGAATTCGGTACTTTTGTCCCCACTTCATATTGAGGAAACTGGGCCTCGGGGGGGGGGGGGGAAGTGACTTGCCCAGGACCCACACCGAGGAGGAAAAGAGGTTGGATTTGGAGCCCTGCCCCTGCCCTTTCCACAAGCAAGATGGCCAGGTGGGGAGTCCAGGGGGCCACAGCTGAGGCCACGATAGACTCGGGACCTGAAGAAGATACTGATCCTGGGGCAACCTCCCCACTGTCACCCGGGGGAGCCCTCCAAGCGCTGCTGTTCGAGGCACTGTGGGAGGGCCAGGGAGCAAAGGGCTGCCTTTGGGGGTGTCCCATCTCTGTGGGGAATGGGATGGGGGGTTGAGATGCAGGCACCACCCACGAGGCCCCTCCTTTCCTGTCTCTCCTTGCAGCCAAAGCAAAGGGCGTCCGCCACCCCCAGCTTCCCTAGGGCAGGGTCACTGCACCCATTTACAGATAAGCAAAGCAAGGCCCAGAAAGGGCCTTCAGTGAGAGGGGTAGGCCAAGATGTAGAGGCCTCCAGGCCCATCTGGCAAAGGAGTTCAGCAGCCAATGGTGCTGATGTGAGAGTTTCCCTTCGAGGGTTCCAGTCCTGGTTCCATCGCTGTGTGGCCCTGGACTGGTCTGTAACCTCTCTGTTTCTTGTCTTCAAAATGAGGAATAATAATAGTGCCTGCTGCAGCTGGCTTTTGTGGGACTAAACGAATGCCGCCCATAAAGAGCTTCGAACCGGGCCTGGCTCTCAGTAGGGGCTCAATAATATTAGCTGATATCATTATTATTATTATCACTATAGTTATTACTATTTCAATCAGCAGCATCGTGCAGCCAGCACCCTTCCTCTGGCACCCCAGGCATAAGCAAGCCTGCCCAGGTGGCTCTTGAGTCCTCAGGGCTTCTCTGGGGCTTTCCTGGGGACTGTCGGCAGAGCTAGGGGGAAGGAGAGGGGGCTCAATTATTCCAACCCCCAGACACCATCTCCAGTAATAATGTCAATGCCTCTGCCCCAGGTGGTAATTGAGCCAAGAGAAGGTTAATTTAATCAGGGATTGGGCTGGGACGGCAGGAGGCAGAGGACTGGGTAAACCTTCTAGACGATTAACACAGCTCCTGAAGAGGTCTAACTTGCTAAGAAGCGTCAGGTTTCGAGGCAATCCTACTTCTCGGCCATCCACTCCACACAGCACATGTCACAACATGGGGCAGGTGGGGGCACCGAGAGAGGAGCTTGGCCCCCAGGCACTGTGGCCGGAGCAGGTGAGGGTAGCAGCAATGTGTGCCTCCCAGCCCTGCACACGGTTGTCACCCTTTCACACTCACACATCACACCCGCAAGGGAAGCTGCCACCACCCTCTTACAGAGACAGGAGAGGCTGACCTCTGTCACACACAGCCAGGATGCAGATGCGGCAGGGGTGTCACTGGAACCCAATTCTGCTGCCAAAAACAAGCATCCTACAAGACCTCAGGGGATATTGAGGAACAGGCATGGAGCCCCCAGTGACCGCCCTAGACACGCCCCACTGGAGAAGGCTTGCTGAGTGTGCCCGTTCCTATCACGCTGACTGTTTCTGGAGCTTGTGGGTGGAAGAGCAAGAGAGCACTGACCTGGGAGTCAAGAGCAGCCTCTCCTCCAGCCAGAGACTCTTGGCCTTGGGCTCATCACCTGGCACCCCACCACCAATTCCTCATAGCTCCATATCTCTCCAGGAAAGGAAGGTACCCCTCGAGAAGGGGCTGGGTAATCAAATGTGTCTCCCTGTAGCCACTGAGGGCGGCGGGGGGGGGGATGGAATTCACATTAAATCAACAGACAGCTTATTCCAGAACTCAGTTTACTCATCTGTCAAATATCCACATAATAGTGGCTAACTCACCCACCTCAAAGAACTGCCGTGGAAATCCAAGGAAAGAAAAGAAAGTCCTTTGCAAAGTTAGACTTAAACCAAAACAGGAAAGCAGCTACTCTGGGCTAGGGGGATAGGAGGTGAGAGGACAGAGCTCACGTGGACTGAGCCCCCACCATATGCCAGGCATCAGCACCCGCCCCCCACAAGGCCCATGGTCTCCTTAACCCCCTTCACCTCTCTAACCCCTCACCCCATGTTACAGAGGAGAGACTGAGGCTCAGAGAGGCGACGCGAATGCTTAAATCACAAAACACAGAAAGCAGCAAAATGGGATTCGAACCAATGGCCTCACGCTCCCTGGCTATGGCCATTTTCTATTGTCACATGCACTGACACACTCACTCATTAAAGCACATCCACCCAGGGGTGGTGGGCCTGGCTGGGATGAAGAGGAAAACAGGGACTGGGGAGGTCAGATAGGGGGCTGCAGCACATTGGAGGCCTCCAGGCCCACCTGGCAAAGGAGTTCAGCAGCCAATGGTGCTGATGTGAGAACCTCCTTCGGGGGTTCCAGTCCTGGAAGGTGCACTCTTCAGGGGGCAGGACTTAAGGAAAGGGGTCCCATGCCCACTCAGGATGCTGGGAAAGGCGGCCTCTTGGGAGGGACCACGCCACGCGTCCTAAGGCTCCATCCCTCTCCCCTTCCCACCCCTCATATACAAGAGACATAACCACACTCGGCCACACACACTCCCGTGACATCACATTTACACACTCTGGCTGGGGGGAGCAACCTCCGACAAAACTGTCCCAGTGACGTCACCTGCGGCCTGGAGCTTATGTCACACCTGAGGTTCTCACTGACCTCACATACATACTTTTTCCTGATGTCCCCACAATTAACACTCTTTCTTCCTGCCTAGGCGTTGATGGCCCAGAGGTACCCACCTCCCCACCCACACAGTTGCAGGGCCCCCGGCTCATCAGGACAGCACCTGCCTGTGCACCCCTCTCAGGGGACACACATGCCCACATGCTTTGCTGATGGCCCAGACGTGACACGTCCCACAGGTGTCCACGGGCCACGAGAACAGGGGTGTCAGCCATGCACATACACATACACACACACACACACACACACACACACTCCCAGTCCCATCTCATGATGCAACTTGCATATTAAAACGCCTCTCGGTAACCGCGCCGGGCAGTCCGCGCCCCACAGCTTCCACCACATTCCTCCAGGTGCTGCCAGCACCCCACTCCCTCCAGCTTTCTGACTCCGACAGCCTGGCCTGCTGATAGCGACAGCCGCAGCCCAGACACACACACACACTCCAGCCCAACACCTGCGTCTCAGCAAGGGACCAAGGCAGTGCCCTCCAGCCGCAGCTGCTGGGTGGGAGGAGTCCAGGGGGAAGGGGCACAGCACAGAGCCCTGAGCTGCAGAAAGTGCCGAGTACCACGTTCCTCCCCAGCTGAGTGCACGGTCAGCACCACTGTCCCCTTCTCGTCTCCCTCCTTGGGCACGCCTGACACACCATGGCCTGTGGCCTCTGTTTTGGACACAAGCTCCCCGAGTGTGCATGCACACGCGCGCGCGCGCACACACACACACACACATCAGCTCCCTTCCCTCCAAACATTCCGAGGAAATCCTGCCAGGCCACTGACAGTGTGCGTGTGTGCGCTTGTGTGTATACAGACAGAGAGCAGGGTCCACCCCATGTCCACACACACACGCACACACCACACACACACAGCACGCACAATCCTCTCCACATGCACACGGCGCCCCACCAGCCAACACACCCACCCCCTCCCCGTCCCCTGACAGCTGCTGGAGCCCACACACGCACGCACACACACACACTGGCACGCGCTCGCACACACACACAAACACACACACACACACACACCCGGCAGTGGCCCCGGCCCTGCCAGAGCTGCAGTGTCTGCGATTTATGCCGCCTCCCTGGGCTGCCTCCCTCCTTGTCCCTGGCCAGCGCCTCTGAAAGGGTCCCCACCCCCCAATTCTGGTCTTACCAACCCCACCGCCGTCAAGCCCCACCCTGGCCCCCCTTCCCCTAGAAGGCATCCACCCCGTCAACCCCTCTTACCAGCTAGAGGATGAATGCCTTGACCCGGCAGCACCCCGTGAAAGAGAGGGGTTAGGGCCCCCGATTCGAAAAGATGAGGGCAGAGAGGTGCAGTGTGGCACCGGCTGGCACACCGTCCACCATCGAGCCTCTGCACCACCCCCAGAAACGCTCACCTCACCGACCGTCCTCGGTGTCCTCCCACCGCCTCCGCCCACCGCCACCACCACCACCTCCCTCGCGCAGGGTGGTCCCCCGGGGGTCTCACGGGGATCCCCAGACCCAGGAGACACTGGGGGTGGCTCTCCCCGTCTCATCCCCCCTTCCGTGTCCCTCTCCAAGCCCCACCCCCACTGACGGAGGGGGTGCCCTCCGGCTCCAGCCCCGACTCCCACCGTCTCCCCGGTCGGTCGGTCGCGGCGCTCGGATCCAGAGGAATTCACTTACCCCAGCCCCAGCCGGGATCCGGGCCAAGCACCGCCTCCGGGAAGCGGCGGCCGCGGGGCCTGCGCGTGTGAGTGTGAGTGTGAATGTGAGTGTGAGCGCGGGTGTGGGTGCGGGGTGCGTGGCCGTGGGGTGGCCCGCGTGTGTCTGTGTGTGTGTCTGGGAGCGCGCGTGTGCGCGCAGACGCCGCCGCCCCCTCCTCCCCGCCGCCGCGCCTCTGCCCCTGCCTCGGCGGGGAGGGCGCCCGGGAGGGGCCAAGCGGCGCGCGTCAGGGACCGCGGCAGGCTGTGTCCGTCTGTCCGTCCCCGTCTGTCCGTCCGCCAGCCCGCCCGCTCCCGGTGCCCTCCGCAGGCCTTTCCGCAGCAAGCCCGCTCCCGCCCCCGAGCCGGCCGCACGCTCCACGGACACACGCGCGCTCGCAGACACACGCCCGCGGGGCTGGGGCCGCGCCTGGCGCCGCCGCTGCAGCTGCAGCGCCCGGGGAGGCGAAGGCGGCCCCACGGACCCGAGCCCCGGCCTGGCGGACCCCTGTCCCGGCCGCGGCCCCCTGCGCTGCTCACCCCGCGGGATCCGGGTCCGGGTCCGGGTCCGGCCTCCGCCAGCGCATTCAACAGCTGGGGGCAAACTTGCGGCGGGGCCGCCCGAAGTGCGCCTGGACTCGCCCTCCCCCTGGACTCCGCCTCCGCTGATGGGCCCCCTCTCCGCCTTGTACCTCCATGCCCTGCCGCCTGCGCCCTGCTGGTTGGTCCCGCGTTCAACCGCTGGCGACTGGGGAAGTGCGGCTGCTGCGTTCCCATTTTACAGGCCAGACAACTGAGGTTCGGAGAGGAGTGATTCCCCCAAGGTTACACAGGGAGCCTACAGACAGTATTAGACTTTACGCTCCCCTACCTTGTGCCAGGGCACTCACTGCCTTTCCCCACCCCTCCAGGAGTAGGTCCAAGGGATACTGGGCTCATCTGTAGCTAGAGAACCTTCATTAGCCTTCCAGAGGCCCAGTTCCCCGCCCCTTACGCCAAAGCCCCTGCCACCTGCTGCCACCTGCAAAGGGGTGGATGCTGGGAGGAGGAGGAGGAGGTGGAAGATGCAAGAAGCCTGGCACCCGGGGCCTATAACTTGGTGCTTGGGCATGCAAGCACCTCCTCCCGAGGCCCTGCGAGCTGCATGTCGGAGGCCTGCTGCCAGCAGGCCCTGTACTTCTCCATCACTTTTATAGGACCGCATGCACCAGCGCCTGTTCTCAGGTGTTGCACAGCAGATGAAGTCCAGGCTGCGGGAACTCCCCGTCGGGACATCTCATGCAGGTCTGGAATAAGGAGACTCCCCAGAAGAAGCCACTGCCTGAGCTGAATCTTGATGGATGAGTAGGAGTTGGCCAGCTAAAGAAGGAGGAGAAGGGTGTCCTGGACTCTGGGAACAGCATGTGCAAAGAGGCACAGAGGCATGAAACAGCTTTGTATGTGTGTACAGGGAACTCCACGGAGTTGGGTATTAGTAGAGCAGAAAGAACGTCTGTCCAGAAATTCCTCCCTCCTTTCAACTAAGAACAGGGAACGGCCCAGGATGGGGCTGGGAGGGCAGACAAGCACTGGGTCACAGGCCACTTGTTGTCCTGGGGTATGCAGAAGGACTATTGGGCGTTCCCCACCTGCACCCCAGGCTGCCTGGCACACTCCTACCCATCCTTCAAGGTCCCTCGCTGCAAACCCAAACAAGCCATGTGCTGTCTCTGCCCTCTAAACTGAGCCCTCCTACAGGGCAGGGGCGGTATCCAACACATGGTGTGTATCCCTGACAAGGCTGGGCAAGAAGCAGGGTCCCAGCTCCAAGACCTTGCTGGAAGAGCCCCTCAGGCGGAACATAACGGCCTCTGCGCCCTCTGGCGGATCCCTCGAGAAATTAGAGTGCTCCCCAAGCCAACAGCCCCCCTGTGGCTCTCAGGCCCAGACACTTTCTGAGATGGGCACTGGCAGATGCCACCTAATCCGCTCCTGCCCAAGAAACTGAGCAGTGATGACCCCAAAGAATACCAGGGAGTCAGTGGCAAAACAGCCTCTTGCTGCTCTGTTTCCGAGACATTCCCAGTCATCTTCCAGAGTGCAAGTCACAACCCTCTCTGAGCCTGTTTCCTCCTTTGTGAAAGAAATATAGCAAAAGCAGCCAGTACCCCCAGCACAGTGCCGGCCACTCCCTTCTCCCTGGAGACCTCCAGGTCTGGCTGGATTTGGTCAGAATTTGTTTGAAGCTCTAAAACGGTCTAAGAATCTCCCTTTGGAGACTTTGCCCTTACTGGGCAGATGTACATTGACAAGAGTTTCAGCTCTTAGCTGACTTTCTGCCACCATATAGAAGATAGAGTTGGCCTGGCCTGAGGGTCATAGTGGACCACACCATCTAGACACTCGACTGGGCTTTCTCTAGACCATAGTGGAAAGGATACATGTCTGCACTGTCAAAGACAGTAGCCACTAACTGCATGTGGCTATTGAGTGATTGGAATTGTGGCTAATGTGGCTGAGGAACTAAATTTTTAATTTTAATTGTTATTACTTTAAATTTAAATAGCCATAATGTGGCTTGTGGCTGCCATGTGAGATAGTGCAGCTCCAGACATATAGCAAGCTCCTTATTAAAATCAAGCCCAGGCAGACCTAATGCACACACACAAACACACAGACACACACACAGGGAACCCTGAGGACCTGGGAATGCGGGGAGCGGGGAGCTCAGGAGACTGCCTAGAATCCGTAGCTGAATGGTTAAGACCGAGACAAACGTAAGCAATAACATGTCCATTCCCACAGTCACTGCCCCAGACCAGGCTTGCCGTCACCTGGATACCTGCAACAAACTCCCTCACCACCCATCTGTTTAAACCCTCCAGTAGCTCCCCAGAGCCCATGCACAGAGGCAAATATGTTCTCTTTCTCATGACAAGTGATTGGCAGCAGCTGCCTAGAGGTGCTCACCCTTTGCAGAAAATGGCATGATCAATTGGTGATGTCTGCCTCAGGAATAAATACAGAGATGAATGGTAAGCCCTCTCTGCTACAGGATAAAATCCAAACACTATTTATTTATTTATTTTAGAGACAGTGCCTCTCTCTGTCACCCAGGCTGGAGTGCAGTGGTGCAATCTCCACTCACAGTGGTGCAACCTCCGCTCACTGCAACCTCCGCCTCCCAGGTTCAAACTATTGTCCTGCCTCAGCCTCCCAAGTAGCTGGGATTACAGGCACCCACCACCATGCCTGACTAATTTTTGTATTTTTAGTAGAGACGGGGTTTCCCCATTTTGGCCAGACTGGCCTCAAACTCCTGAGCTCAGGTGATCTTCCTGCTTCAGCCTCCCAAAGTGCTGGGATTACAGGCATGAGCCACCGCACCTGACCAAAACTCCAAACTCTTTAACTTGCCTAAATAAGGCCCGTTGCAGTTGGTCCTTATTTATTCCTCCAGCATCTTCAATATCATCCCACATATGTTCTGGGTCCCAGCAACACCAATATCTGCCCTTTCCAGACTCACTTTCTGCCACCATATAGAAGATGGAGTTGGATCTGTCACCCCATCATCTTCACACCTTTGTGCTTTTGATCCTGTTCCCTTGATGTGGGAGGACTTTCCTCCTCTCAGATCCCTTCCCTACCTGTCTACTTTCTACCTATCCTCAGGTACTGCTTGAAAGCCGCCTCCTCAGTGAAGCCTCCCCTGACCACTCCTAAACTGAGCTGGCTGAGCTACTTCCTTCTCCACCGGCTCCCAGAACACTCTGCAAGGCTTCAGTGACAGCACACATCACATCATGTCATTATTCATTCTCTATGTGTCCACCTCCCCCAGCTTATTCTTCACTTGGTCACCTCTATCAAGTAGCAACCATGTGTCAGGGGCTCGCTCAGGGCCAGGCACTGTGCAAGGCCATTTTCACACATTATTCTTATTAATAAGCCACCAATCTAGACGTTAGGAGGTTCTCTTCCGGGCACACAGCATCCACCCCCCCTTCCCACCAGCGCCCTAATTTCTCCTCTCCCCACCACCATGGACAGTCTTGGAGGAATGTGAATCCAGGTACCACTTCCTGCCCTCAGCTGGGCTAATTGCGCTGTGGGTGGAGTGACGCGTGCACAGGAAAATTAACCGGAGCAGAACCATCCTCGAAATGTCAGTGCCAGGTGACATGGGTGGGCTGGGCACCTGCCCTGCATCCCAGAACCCCATCTGCTCGGCCTTCTCCCAGAGGTGCACAGGAGCTGCCCCTGGCTGACAGCTCACCAGAAAGTGCCCTTTATTTTCAAGGTGAACAAGCATGGCCCACATCCAAATGATCCCACTGCCCTGGCCACGTCACTAGAAAGACATTTTTTCCAGAAAGTCGTCCTTTCTTCAAAGCTTAGAGAACAGAGGAGGAAGAGTGAGAGGAACATAGAAATGCTAAAAGCTTCACGCATTGTTTAAGGTGAATAACAAGATTTACCCTTTGTACTTAGGTGAAATTTTCTTCACTTGGTCTCAGTGGCATTTTGAGTTGATGCTAAGAAAATTAGGTTAAAGTGATTCTTTCAGAGAAACACACACACACACACACACACACACACACACCCCAGAGCTTGTGCGGGGTGTCACATTCCTCCTTTGGATCCAGACCTAAAATCACATTTCTGTTGCGCCTCCAGTACTGGAACTGAGGACATCAGCTCGCTGAGGACAGGAGCCAGTGGTGAGACAGAGCCTGGAAGAAAAAGACGGGCCTGGAAGGCAAAGCGTGGTCCTTGCCCACGGTGGAACCCTGCCAAGTGGACTAGGAAGAGATGGGGGCTGAGCTGCCTTCTGGGGAAGGTGGGTCCTCTTATCTAGGAGTGTTTTGTTTTTCTGGTCACTGTGACAGGTCAGGGCATGCAAGGATGAAGGTAGTTGTCAGATGCTGGGGCCTGGGGGAGAATGAGTAGGAGAGAGAAGAGACCACAAGTCGGGAGGAAGGTGACAGGGAGGGAAGCCGACCCGCCCAGGAGGCCTAGTTGCGAAGAACACATGTATTTCTAGGAAGGATTTTGACATTCTTTTGCTGTGGTGTGTACATTACGAGCCCCCTCCCCCACTTCAGTCTCCCTACCACCTCCTTCCCCCCACTCCCTTCAGAAAAGTCTGCGTGTTTCTCCTATGAGTCATTTATTGCTTTGTAATGAATTACCTCAAAACTCAGTGGCTTAAATCTGCAAAATGACATGCTTATTATTTCACAGTTTCTGTGGTCAGGCATTTGGGAGAGGGTGATTCAGCCTTGAAATGTCTCATAAACTTGCAGTCAAGATGTTTAGCTGGGGCTCCACCCATCTGAAGGTTGGACTGGGGCTGGCGGATCTGCTTCTGAGATGCTTCCCTCACGTGGCTGGCAGGGTGGTGTTGGCTGTTGGTGGGAGTCCTCTGTGTCTTGTCACATGGACCTCTCCATAGGACTGTTTGAGTGTCCTCACAACATTGCGGCTGCTTTCTCCAGAGTGAGAACAAGTAGGAAGCCTGTGTCTCTTAAGACCTGTCCTCAGAAGTAACACTCATTTTTGCTTTCCCGTTGGTTCCATGGATCTGACCCATTCATTGTAGTGAGGGGACCACACAGGGGGTGGAGCCCAGGAGGGAGGTACCATCAGGAGCCCTCTTGGGGGCCAGTGGTTTTGAGATCAATCAATTATATTTGGGGAAGTTGAGGAAGTTCTGTGTTCTGCATCCAGACTATCAAAGACGAAAACAGAACTAGAGGAGTGGCAGCCAACACAGGATGGCCTGATTCCTTAGGAGTCCATGATTCTGAGAGCCTATGGTCTTCATTGTTTATAGACCAAGGGCAGCTCAAGGCTAATGATGCATAAAGAATGTGCATAAAGACCCTAGGGCTGGACAAGAGTCAAAGGTGGCCGAAGGTGTGGCCCCAGTGAGGGGGTGCCTGTGAGGACCAAAGGCCAGGGCCACACTCTGGGGGATATTTTGAAGTGTCCACGTGGATGCCTGTAGGTCCAGAGACCCAGCTATGGGAGGGACCCCAGAGAACCCTATTAGAGGTGCTGATGGCACCCTGCTTGCCTGGCTGGGGCTGAGATGACTGGATGGTGAGGTTTGCCAGGCTGCCTCCCCGCCAGTCTTGGTAGAGCAGCCCTGGAGTGTGCTGTCAGATAGGGAGGGGACAGGAGGACAATGGGGGACACCCCTTTTGACACACCGGCTGCCTCCACTAGAAGGTGAGCCATTTTCAGCCAATTCAACCATCTAATCCAGATCTGTGCCATGGGTGCCCAGCCCCTTGCCAGTCACAAGCAGGTGCTTGGGGAGGGTCCTGGTGAGCTGCCCCACCCAATGGTGCAAGGGCCAGACCGAGAGTGTCCATCCCCCTCCCCCCAACCCCGAGGCCTGCTCCAACAGAAGCGGGATCTGCCGAGTGTTTACAGCCCCATGGCAGATGGCCTCCTCTCAGCTCTCTGAACCAGGAGACTCCTCTGAGACACCCCCAGGGAGAGCTGGAGGAGGAGGAAGGAAGGCTCAGATCTCTGCATCTGCCTGACTTATTCTGTCCCCTAGCCAGAGGCCACTGCACCCCGCACTATTGTGTGGCTGCCATTTGGATCTGAGCACCCTTGCAGGGAGCTCTGGAATTCTGCGGGAGCCACAGCAGGGGGAGCGGAGTTAGCCTCAGCTGGCTCAGCGGCTACGAGGTCAGCCCGGCAGCCTGCATTATTAAACCATCTATCTGGCTCCCTCCAGGGAGATGCTGGGGGTGGGGGCAGGCTGCTGCCTGGGTCCGGAACTGGGGCAGCCGGCAGCTCCTGGGAGCTGGAGGTCACCGGCCTCATGGCTGGGCTTGTCACTGCTGACCTGCTGCCGGCTCCGAGGTTCCAGATGCTGTAGGGGCTAGAAAGGAGCTGACTGGCTGGTTTCTTCATGTTCTTTTTTCTGCTCAAAAACTTCTGGTCTCTGACTCCACAGGGTAAAGCGCCAGCTCCTTACGCTGGCATCTGGAGTTTTCTGCAACCTGGCCACACTCTTCCTAAAATCGTAATAATAGCTCAAAAAGGAGGTGTTTACTCTCCTTCAGGCTTGGTGCCATGTGCTCTACATGAATTAAAGTCTCTGTGAATAATGACAACAATCTACGAGGTACTTCTGTTATTCTCATTTGACTGCAGAGGCTCAGAGATGCTAAGCAATTTGACCAGGATCACACAGTGAAGAAGAGGCGATGATTCCCCCAGGCTTTCCTGCTGATGCAGCCAGGCTGTGGCCACGAGACGCTGGGGATATTTTAGGCTCAAAGCCCCATTCTTAGCCCTACAATCGCTTGTCACTTCCCAGAGTCATGCCTTTCCTGAGGTTCTCTCACTGTAGAATCTGGGGGACTGACGGTCCCTGGGGAGGGGGATGCATTGTATATATTCCCAAGACTCCATGGCAAAGGGAGGGTTTGTGTGGCTGCTACCAAGTTACTCAGGCTCAAATCCCAGATGCTACCTGAATGCCACCTGGATGCCACCTGGGCTCCTGTCAGCTCTGCCTGCTAAACCTAGCCCCTCCTCTCTCCCTCACTGCCACAGAAGCAAAGGCAGGTGGGTCCCATTCACCTTTGCGTGCTCAGGGTCTGGCATGCAGATGGCACTCCAAAAATATTTGCTAAGGAAAATGATCAAGTGTATGCCTGCGTGAACAAACGAAGGAAGAAAAGAAGAGGGAGTGGCCAGCATGAGGAGAGAAAACGGATGGGTGAACAGGAAGGCTGGTGAATTCGGCTCTGCCCTAGGGACCAGGGGTGGGCACTGGGCAAAGGAAATCTTCACACAAGAAGAGATGCTCCAGGAACCTGCCTGACAGGTGGGAGGAGCACGCAGGCAGGGCGCCTGGAAGGGGCAAGGCGTGGAGGAAGATTTGAGAGGGGGCAGTAAGAGCAGGCCACAGAAGAGGCCTTGGTCTCACTCAGATCCTTCCGGTAGTTCTGACTGGTTTCTCCAAAATCTCCCCATTTTCTCTCATCTCCTGCTTTCTGTCTGCCCTCATGCTTGGAGGCCATGGAACTCCAGCTCACATGGCCCATCACAACTCATTCTCAGAGCAAGCACTGGCACAGCCTTGGCATCTGACACCTAGCTGTGCCTTAGTTCTGCCAGGTCTGGCCAGGGCGGTGATAGGGACTTCCCCTCTCTTCCGCCATAGACCCAGCTCTGGTCACAGCCAAGACCCCAGCTCCCCACACCCAGAGGAGAAGGCTGGAGCAGGGCCTGGAGATGGGAAGGGATTTGTGAGCCAGGCGGGCTCCTTTGAAGTGGGACCTCTCCTTCCTACCAGGGGCTGAGTGGGACCAGGAGGGGAGCCTGTGTCAGGGCCACAGCCATGCAGGCTGGAGTCCAGGGCAGTCCCCAGACTCCTTGGAGAGGATAACAAGACCCCTCACCACGTAGGAGCGGCTCCCTTGTGCCAGGTTGTAGATATGCCGCCATGTCCTCATGACAACCTGAGGGGATGTCATCAGTCCCCAGGACTCATTGGTTGTAAGTGACAGAAACCCAACTTAAACCAGTTTGAACTGGATTACACTCAAAGGTGATATCTTGACTCCCATAACAGGGCAGGCTGCCTTGAGGAAGACTGGGAAGGAGGAGGAGGCCATCTTGAATGCCATCAACATCCTCTCTTTGTGCTGTAGTTCTCTCAGGCCCACTGTCCCTGCTGCAGGAGAACCAGGAGCCTCCACAGGCCCAGACTTACGGCCTGACAGATTCATGGCCAGAGTGGGAAGAGCTTCTCTTCCCATTCCAAGCTGAACAATTCTAGGAAAGGACTCTGATTGGCCCAGCGTGGGTCACATGCTTATCCCTTGGACCAATTGCTGTGGCCAGGGTGACCCAGCCTGGGTCAGGTACCCCTGCCCTTGTAACCAGGGAGAGGACCTGTCAGCAGAGGAACTGGGAGGGACCCTGGCCAGACAACAGCAACAGCAGCAGCGCAGGGACTTTTTAAAAATACATGTTTTATTTTGGAATAATTCTGGATTTATGGAAACAATGCAAAGATAGCACAGAGAGTTCCCGGATACCCTTCACCCAGCTTCCCCTGAAGCCAGCATCTTATATAACCGTGGTACCTTTGTCAAAATTAAGAAATTAGCATTGGTGCATTACCATTAACTAAACTCCAGCCTTCATCCAGATTTACCTGTTTTTCCATGGATTCTTTTTCTGTTCCAAGATCCTATCTGGGACATGACATTGTATTCAGCCATCATGTCTCCTCAATCCTCTAGCCTGGGACAGTTCATTGTACTATGCTTGCTTTGCTTGACCTTGACAGTTTTGAAGGGCCAGATATGTTGTAGACTGTCCCTCAATTTGGATTTGTCTGATGCTTGCTTTTTTTTTTTTTTTTTTTTTTTTTTTGAGACAGAGTTTCGCTCTTGTCTCCCATGCTGGAGTACAGTGGCACAATATCGGCTCACTGCAACCTCCACCTCCTGGGTTCAAGCAATTCTCCTGCCTCACCCTCCCGAGTAGCTGGGACTACAGGCATGCGCCACCATGCCCAGCTAATTTTTGTATTTTTAATAGAGACGGGATTTCACTATGTTGGCCAGGCTGGTCTCGAACTGTGACCTCAGGTGATCCGCCGGCCTCGGCCTCCCAAAGTGCTGTGATTACAGGCGTAAGCCACCACGCCTGGCCTGTCTGATGTCTTCTTATCATTAATATGGGTCACAGTGGGGGAGAACAGCCCAGAGTTATAGTACATTGTCACTGCTACATGTCAGGGGGTACAGGATGGATCATTGGTGATACTAACCCTGGTCACTTGGTTAGGGTGGCGCTTCCTTCGCTTAACAGATAGGCCTTAAACTGAGGCCTGGAGAGGTGAAGCTGCTTGCACTGGAGTGATGGTAGGGCAGGAGGTGAACCAGGCCCATCTGACTCCCATTATCCCACATTCATTGGAGTTTTAGGCAGGGAAACTGAGACAGAAGCCCAGCTCTAAGAGTGGGAAGGTGAAAAAAGCTGTACCATGGAGTCTATTCGGTATGCAGCAAGAAAACTGAGCCCAAGACTTCTTTTTTCGGGGGTAAGGCCCCATCAGAATGGGCCTGGGGGCCTGGAAGCCATGGTAGATGCCAGCCAAGAGGAGTGGGGAAAGGAAACGGGGGCAGGCACGAGGACCATGGGAAGGAAGAATGAAGGAAGGAGGGAGTGGTGAGCACAACTGCTGGAGCAATCCAGGAAGTCTCCTTGGAAGAGAAAGCCACAATTTTAAGAACAGTCAAGAGAGCAGCTCAGGTGTGAGGTCCTTCCCAGGAGACAGAGAGTAAAGTATTTAAGACCACAGGCCAGGCTGGGCGCAGTGGCTCACACCTGTAATCCCAACAATTTGGGAGGCCAAGGCAGGTGGATCACTTGAGGTCAGGAGTTCAAGAGCAGGCTGGCCAACATGGTTAAATCCCAGCTCTACTAAAAATACAAAAATTATCAGGCTGTGGTGGTGGGCATCTGTAAACCCAGCTACTCAGGAGGACGAGGCTGGAGACTTGCTTGAACCCAGGAGGCGGAGGTTGCAGTGAGCAGAGATTGCGCCATTGCACTCCAGCCTGGGCGACAAAAGCAAAACTCCGACTCAAAAAATAAGACCACAGACCCTGGAGTCCGAGAGGCCTGGGTTTAAACCCTTGTGCTACCACTTCCTGACTGGTGATCTTGGGCAAGTCACTGCTTCCCAAACTAATGGGGTTTTCTAGCCCCCAGGTCTTGCCTGTCCTGCTCACCTGTCTGAAACGGTCATTCCTGAACCAGCCCCCGACCTCCCCAGCCTGAACCAGCTACCGATTTTGTGAAGCTCAGTGAAAAATGAAAATCTGGACTCTGGACTCCTTGTTCAAAAATTATTATGAATTTCAAGACAGCAATAGCAGAGCATTAAACCAAGCACGGGATCCTTCCAGGTGGGGAGCCCTGAGCGAGTGCGCAGGTTACATACCCTTGAGGCTGGCCCCGTCCCCGGCCTCAGTGACCACCTGAGCCCTGTGATCTGATGTCCATATTTTCTCTGCAGTTCCTTAACTGTTAATCACAAGCTGTCTGCCGCAGCTGCTCAGACCGTCATATCGAACGGTTGCTTCACTCACACATGTGTTTTCTTGTCTTGCCCTGGGTGGAAGGTTAGATGCAATGGACTCCAAGGTGCATCCAACAGTTAAATTTGATGTCCTTTAATTTAATGGCTCTAATATTTTTCACCGGGAAGCTTCTGAGCTTAAAATGCTGAGTCAAGGGGTCAGAGCTTCCCCTGTGCGGTCTCAAAACCCTGATGATCCCCAGGCAGTTTGGAGGTTTCAGATGAAAGAAGGTTGTTAGAATTTCATTCACTGACATTTTGCAAATTTGAAATGTGAAATTAATTGCGATTTTTGCAGGAATTGCTCAGTTCTTCAAGGTGCTGTGTGTACTATACAGTCCATCCATCCAAAATGGGTCCAAAGGAAACCGGGTGCCATGGCTTATGCCTGTAATCCCAGCACTTTGGGAGGTCAAGATGGGAGGATCATCCAGCTCAGGAATTTGAGACCAGCCTGGGCAACACAATAAGACCCCATCTCTACCAAAAAAAAAAAAAAAAATCAATCAGGCACAGTGGTGTCATCTGTAGTCCCAGCTACTTGGGAGGCTGAGGTGGGAAGATCACTTGAGCCCAGGAGGTGTGGCTACAGTGAGCTATGATTGTACCACTGCACTCCAGCCTGGGTAACAGAGCAAGAACCTGTCTCCAAAAACAAAAACAAAAACAAAAACAAGGGGTTCCTCAACAGCCCTGAGCCTGGCTGGCACATTTTTACATGTTTTGCATAACTACTTGTTAACTTTGCATTTTCTCCCCTTATTATCGTCAAGAGGCGGAATATTGGAATCAACTGTACTCATCTCTTATCTCTTCCATGAGAACATATGCAAGTTGCTTAATCTCTCTGGGTCTCAATTTCTTTATCTGAGAAATGGAGATTAAATGAGTTCTATGTCTTCTGGTGATCATTGCTAATTAGAAATTCTAGTGGTGCGAAAAAAAAAAAGGCACACCTGCTTTATTTTGCTCAAAATTTTGTGGGTCAAGAATGGAAGGGCTTAGCTGGGTTGTTTTTGCTTGGGGTTTTCATGCAGTTAGCCTCAGATGTCTGCTGGAGCTGCCATTATCTGATAGCTCAGCTGGGATGGGTACAATCAAGATGGTTCACCCGCACAGCTGGCACCTGATGCCTGCCATCGGTTGGCAGCTCTGTTGGAGCTGGTGACTGAAGTGGCTATCTGCAGCAGAGCAGAACCAGAGGAGCCGGGCTTATTACATGGCAGCTGACTTCCCCCAGAACAAGCATCCCGGGAGAAACAGGAGGAAAACACTTGCCCTTGGAAATGACAAAACATCACTTCTGCTGTTTTCTATTGATATAATAGAGTCACTAAGTCCAGCCCACAATTAAAAGGAAGGGACATAGACCCCACCCTTCAACAGGAAGAGTGTCCAAAATTGGGGTCATGTTTTAAAACCACCACAGTATTTATAAAAAGCACTTACAGCTGGGCGTGGTGGCTCATGCCTGTAACCCCAGCACTTTGGGAGGCCGAAACAGGCAGATCACCTGAGGTCAGGAGTTCAAGACCAGCCTGGCCAACATGGTAAAACCCCATCTCTACTAAAAATACAAAAAAATTAGCCGGGTGTGGTGGTGTGCACCTGTAATCTTAGCTACTTGGGAGGCTGAGGCAGGAGAATCACTTGAACCTGGGAGGTGGAGGTTACAGTGGCCCAAGATCGTGCCACTGCACTCCAGCCTGGGCAGCGAGAGCAAAACTCCGACTCAAAAAATCAAAAAGCACCTAGAATAGTGCCCAGCACATAGTTGGCCCTACGTATTTCCTGTTGTATTAAGCCCCAAATGACCAAAATGGGTGGATAATGCAAAATGGTTGTTGAAACATCGAAGTGGGGATGAAAATATTAACAAAAATTCTATGATTCAGAATACAACACAATCATAAGTGGTAAGTAGGATTTTTATATGCCTGTGGAATGTGCTGGTTCGGAAATGTATGATTTTGCACAAACAAAGAAGAAAAATAAAAATAGAAAGTGCAACCCTAAATACCTGAAAGAGGAGACGCATCATACCTCTGACCGGTGTGAGCTCTCTTATCTCAGGTGGCTGGTGGTGGCTGGAAGCCTTTGAAATGTTTTCATGTTTCCCCTACAAAACAAGGTATCACTCCAGGGAACCATTGGAATTTTTTTAGAACAAGCACAAAATAAAACTTTCCAGTACAAAATTGATGACTTCCATCACTGAAGGCAGAGAAGCAACCAAAAGCACAGAGGTATTATTCAAAGTGGCTTGCTGTGTAGAAAAGCCAGGTACAAGCCATTCTATTGCCAAGACACTTATAAAGCTAGTCACACACTGAGTGACAAGTCAGAGAGAACAGGTGAGGCTATTGGCAGGTAACACTACTGGTGGAGAGGGGCTTGAAATTCATGGCAAACAATATGGAAGGTCCATAATTGTCATATGTGCATGCCAGCAGATATTTCACTAGCAGATGAGCAAAGCTGCTGGTGAACAGGACGTATCAGACTTGGGTGGCAGGCACATCCCCCATCTTTCTCTTAACGGACCCATCTTTCTCTTAACGGAGCCCTCGAGGAGGCAGTGCACCCTGTTCTAAGCCAGTCTTGAGATCCTGGTTCCTGATTTCCCAGCCTCCCTTGCAGCTAGGGATACCCATGTGACCCAGTCTGACCAATGAGATCTAAGCAGAAAGCAGCTAGTGCATTTCTAAAGAAATTTTTTCCTTTCCTTTTAAAAGACATGAGATACAACCAGTGGGGCCCCACCTTTCTTCCACCTTCTTCCTGTTTGGAATGCTGGTGGTGATGCTGGAGCCCACTGTGGAAGCCATCTTGTCCCACCTTGAGGCTTCTTGTCACGTGAGGAAGCCCCAACCCCTGCAGCAGACAGATGCCTCCTCTGCCCCAAAATTTCCTACTGCTCTTCCCCATCTTCACTCAAGCCATCCATGACCTTGCTTCCCATTTCACTGAGAGAGCAGAAATTATCCAAAGAGCTTCCACCAACACCTACATTCCTCTTTCCGAGCCTGATCTGTCAACTCTGCCCCTCACGAAGGTCCACCTCCACTGTGCCCTATACCCAGCCCTCTTACTTCCTTAAGGAGGGCACTCCTGCAGTGTGTACCCCTCTTTCTCCTGCATTTTCATTTTTCTTTTTCCTTTTCTTGAGAAAGGGTCTCTGATGCCCAGGCTGGAGTGCAGTGGCATCATCATGTTTCATTATAGCCTTGAACTCCTGGTCCTGGGCTCAAGCGATCCTCCCGCCTCAGCCTCCCAAGTAGCTGGGACTACAGGTGCACACCACCACACCTGGCTAATTTTTTTTTTTTTTTTTTGGTATTTTTTGTAGAGACAGGGTTTTGCCATGTTGCCCAGGCTGGTCTCGAACTCCTGGGCTTAAGCGATCCGCCTCAGCCTCCCAGGTAGCTGGGACTACAGGCATGAGCCCTGTACCCAGCCCTCCTGCATTTTCATTTTTCCTTCTCCAGGTTCATTACCATCATAACCACATGCATGTACTGCCATTTCTCCATCTTAAAAAACTTGTCTCGTGCATGCCTGTAGCCCCAGCTACTCGGGAGGCTGAAGCAGGAGAATCGCTTGAACCTGGGAGATGGAGGTTGCAGTGAGCTGTGAGCCGAGATCGAGCCACTGCACTCCAGCCTGCTGACAGAGCAAGACTCCATCAAAAAAAAAAAAAAAAAGAAAGTCTCAACAGCACATCCCCAGTTCTCTCCTTTCCTTAATAGAAAGAAGATATATCCAAAGAGCTCCCTTTTTTTCACCCCAATTCCTATGCATTAGGAACTAGACTCTCCAGGCTTTGCCCTTCCATGTCACTGATATGACTTCGTCAAGGTCTCCAGGGACTCCAGCGGCCAGACATTCACCCTGCCTCTGACGCGCCCGTCAGCTACAATAGACTCAGCCGGTCACCCCCTCCTCCTTGAAGCGCTCTCCTTCTGGCTTCCAGGACACTAGGCTCTCCTCTCACTTGAATGCAAGCTCTGGAAGAAATAGGATGTTTGTCATCTTGCCCACTGCTGTATCCTCACCGCCTAAAACAGTGCTTAGCAACAGTGGGGGCTCAACTCTCTTCACTGAATTCATGAAGAGACTGCTGGTTGTACCTCAATATCCACTCTCCCCTTCTTCTACAGTAATATTAATAGTTTTAGCTGAGTCCATGGCTGCCTAGATAAAGACTACATTTCCCAGCTTACCATGCACTTGGGCATGGCCACATGACTGGATTCCGGTCAATGAAATGAGGGCAGAAATGAGTTGTGCAATTTCCTGTTCATGCCCTCCAAAGAAAAGGTATGTTCCTCCCTTTGTTTTTCTGCCCTTTCCATGGGCTGAAATGCAGATATGATGGCAGGAGCTGCAGCAGCCATCGTAAACCAGATGGTGAAGCCACCTGCAGGTTGAGGAAGATGGGTAACAAAATAAAAGGGACACCCACTCAGCATTGCTCACATTATGTTCAGATTGTCACTGACAGAGAAGTAAATGTCTGTCTTATTTAAATCATGGTGATTTTGGCTTTTGTTACAGCAGACAGACCTGTACTCTGAGGAATGCACTGTTATTTATTAAACCAATTGTAGTTTGATTTTCCGTAACTTGCAACCTGATCCATCCATCCAGGAGGGAAATGGGTACCACTATTTCTTTGGGTCCTGTTCATCACGTAACAGTGATGCTATAAGGGAGGACATTTATGGGGTAAGTTAATGAATACTTTGTGAGATAGAAAGGGACTCTGGGAACCGGGCCGGCAGAGTGCCCACCATGTGGGCTGCCAGGAAGGGCACCGCTATGTGGATGGAGGCACCTGCTCCAGAATGTCAACACTCGGCACTTATTCACAGCGAGCAGCTGGTGGGCAACAATGTGCCTCCCAATCTTCATGCAGCACAGAGAGAAACTGAGAACATTACAATTAAACCCAGGCCACTGAGTGGACATCGTTTTAGCCAGCTGTCAGAAGAGACAGGCAGAACAAAACTGCTTTTCCAACCTGAGCAACTCTCACTGTGGAATAAATGTGCATGCCAAGTTTTTTTAAATGAGGGGCAAGATTTTTTCAATCTTTTTAATCTTGCTTTTGAAAAATTTTTTAAATTTGTTTTGTTTTGTTTTGAGACAGAGTCTCACTCTGTCGCCCAGGCTAGAGTGCAGTGGCGCAATCTCGGCTGGCTGCAACCTCTGCCTCCTAGGTTCAAGCAATTCTCGTGCCTCAGCCTCCTGAGTAACTGGGATTACAGGCATGTGCCACCACACCTGGCTAATTTTTGTTTTTTGTTTTGTGTGTGTGTGTGTGTGTGTGTGTGTGTGTGTGTGTGTTGGTTTTTGTTTTTTGTTTTTGTTTTTGTTTTTTTTAGTGGAGACAGGATTTCGCCACATTGGCCAGGCTGGTTTTGAACTCCTGACCTCAAGTGATCCGCCCACCTTGGCCTCCCAAAGTGCTGGGATTACAGGCATGAGCCACTGCACCCGACCTAAATTTTTTTTAAATTTTTTAAATCTTGCTCTGCCAGGCACCATGGCTCACGCCTGTATTCCTAGCACTTTGGGAAACCAAGGCGGGAGGATCACTTGAACCCAGGAGTTCAAGGCTTTGGTGAGCTATTACCACATCACTGTACTCCAGCCTGGGCGACAGAGTGAATGAAACCTGTCTCAAAAAAAAAAAAAAGTATCTGTATGACACAATAATGCCATTGAAAACCATTCCTTTGATTTTAAGAAACATGACTCAGTGACACAGTCAGCACCTTGAATATTCTGATTCTGTCACCTTGGAGCTAAAATACACTTTTCACATTTGATAAACTGTGGGGCAAAGTTCTTGATCCCCGACAGCCTGACTCTGTCCCAATACTAGATGTTTTTGTCCACTGCTCGGGGGAAGAAATCAATGACACGGCAATGAGCGTATTAAAAACCACATCCAAGCACTGCTGTCAAACAAGAAGGAATCCTCTCGAGTGTGAAATATTAAATACAACCAAAGCAGGGTCTAGGCCGTTTGTCTGGACAACTTTCCAGTTCTTGAGTGTGCTGTGTGGGATATCTTCTCTTCTGACAGGTACTGGAAGGAGGCTTCCATGATAAATCACCTTTTTGTCACTTCTGAGGCTGTGTCTAATCCCCAAATCCCAGAACAGGCACTTGTGGGTGCCATCTCTGACCGCCTGCAGCCTAGCAAGGGGCTATTGGCTTTGGGGAGATGAAGAGTGCAAGGAAAGAAGCTGTCTAGATAGGAAACATGAGCTGCTGGCCGAACTAGCTTGCCATCAAGACAGCCGGGACCATTTGTCCACTCAGCAAACAATGATTGAGGACCTACTACGCGCTGGGAACACAGGGCCTGGAGGCATGAAGGTGAACAGAAAAAAAAAAAAAAAAAAAGACAGAAGGATTGCAAACAGAATCATCACTCTCAGTGACACAAAACCTTGTTTAAAAAATTGTGATAAAGGGCTGAACATGGTGGCTCACACCTGTAATCCCGGCACTTTGGGAGGCCAAGGTGGGCAGATTGCTTGAGCCCAAGAGTACAAGACCAGCCTGGGCAACATGGTGAAACCCCGTCTCTACAAAAAAAAAAAAAAAAAATTAGCCGGGCATGGTGGTACGTGCCTGTAATCCCAGCTACCTGGGAGGCTGAGGTTGGAGAATGGCTTGAGCCCAGGAGGCAGAGATTGCAGTGAGCCAAGATTGTACCACTCCACTCCAGCCTGAGCGAAAGAGCCAGACCTTGTCTCAAAATAAAAAACAAACAAAAAAATTGTGATAAAATATACACAACGTAAAGCTTACCATTTTTAACCTTTTTAACTTTTGTTTGTTTGTTTTTGAGATGGAGTCTCGCTCTGTCACCCAGGCTGGAGTGCAATGGTGCGATCTCGGCTCACTGCAACGTCCACCTCCCGGGTTCAAGCGATTCTCCTGCCTCAGCCTCCTGCGTACCTGGGATAACAGGTGTGTGCCACCAGCCCAGCTTATTTTTGTATTTTTAGTAGAGACGGGGTTTTACCATGTTGCTCAGGCTGGTCTTGAACTCCTGACCTCAGGTGGTCCACCCACCTTGGCCTCCCAAAGTGCTGCTGGGATTACAGGCGTGAGCCACTGCGCCGGCCCATTTTCATCATTTTTAAATACACAGTTCACTGGCATTTAGTACGTTCGTGTTATTGTGCAAACATCACCACTGTCCAGTCCATTTCCACGCCTTTTTCATCATCCCCAACATAAACTCTGTACCCATTCAACGATAATTCCCCAGTTCTCCCTCCCCACTGCCCCAGGTAACCCCTGATAACCTCTGTTCAACTATCTCCATGAATTTCGCTATTCTAGGTACTTTATATGCATGGAGTCATACAATATTTGTCCTTTTTTTTTTTTTTTTTTTGAGATGGAGTCCCATTCTATCACCCAGGCTGCAGTACAGTGGTGCGATCTCGGCTCACTGCAATCTCCACCTCTTGGGTTCGAGCGATTCTCCTGCCTCAGCCTCCCAAGTAGCTGGGATTACAGGCGCCCGCCACCACCCCTGGCTAATTTTTGTATTTTTAGTAGAGACAGGGTTTCGCCATGTTAGCCAGGCTGATCTCGAACTCCTGACCTCAAGTGATCCACCTGCCTTCGCCTCCCAAAGTGCTCAGATTATAGGCATGAGCCACTGCACCTGGTCAATATTTGTCCTTTTATGTCCGGTTTCTTTCACTTAGCATAATATTTTCGAGGTTCACTCATGTTGTAGCATGCATCAGACTTTCCTTTTTCAGGCTGAATAATACTCCACTGCATGTCTACATCGCATTTTGTTAGTCCGCCCTGTGTTGATGAATACTTGGGCTGTTTCCACCTTTGGCTATTGTGAACAAGGCTGCCACAAACATAGGTGGACACATCTGTTTGAGTTCCTGCTCCCAGTCCCTTATGTGTCTAGGAGTGGGACTGCAGGATCATATGATGATTCTATATTTAACTTTTTTTTTTTTTTTTGAGATGGAGTCTTACTCTGTTGCCCAGGCTGGAGTGCAGTGGCACGATCTCGGCTCACTGCAACCTCCACCTCCCGGTTCAGGCAATTCTCCTGCCTCAGCCTCCTGAGTAGCTGAGATTACAGGCACCCGCCACCACGCCTGACTAATTTTTGTATTTTTAGTAGAGACAGGGTCTTGCCATGTTGGCCAGGCTGGTCTTGAACTCCTGACCGCAAGTGATCCACCCCCCTCAGACTCCCAAAGTGCTGGGATTACAAACATGAGCCGCCACACCCGGCCCTATATTTAACTTTTTAAGGAACTGCTAAACTGTCTTCCACAGCAGTTGCGCCATCTACGTTCTATTATTAATTTTACATGTTATATTTGATTTAGTTTTTTTTTTTTTTTTTTTTTTTTTTTTGAGACGGAATCTCACTCTGTCGCCCAGGCTGGAGTGCACTGGCACGATCTCGGCTCACTACAAGCTCCACCTCCCGGGTTCACGCCATTCTCCTGCCTTAGCCTCCCGAGTAGCTGGGACTACAGACGCCTGCCACCACGCCTGGCTATTTTTTTGTATTTTTTAGTAGAGATGGGGTTTCACGGTGTTAGTCAGGATGGTCTCGATCTCCTGACCTTGTGATCTGCCTGTCTCGGCCTCCCAAAGCGCTGAGATTACAGGCGTGAGCCACTGCGCCCAGCCCAATTTAGATTTTTTAATGATGACAAATCTGAGTTTACCTAATTGGTGGTGCACACGGGCACCCTGTGCCATCCTGTAGTCCAAAAGGTCACAAGTTTACGCGATGCTCCTCTGGAGTGTTTCAATTCTAAGATTCTGCAACTGAAGGCTGAAATTCTAAGATCTTTTCATGCTAGGATTAAGACCTGTGGCATTCCATTCTGAGGTTCAGAGAGACAGGATCTGTGAATTCACTTCCAGACCACCATGGTGTACGTGGGCTCAGCCTGCCCTGTCTTCTCCACACTGCTTGGGAGGAAGGCTGCCAGAGGCTAGGCAGCTAGGGAGGGGCAAGAACTCACCACCACCAGCAGCTGCAGCCATGGAGCTGGGACTGTGGGAATGGAGAGGAAGAAGTGGAGATGGGGACAGATGGAGGAGGAAAGAGCAAGACCTGGGGACCCACTGGAGAGAGGACAAAAGTCCCAGATCCCCTACCTGCCTGACTGGGGCTGGTGCAGTCAATAGGAAGGGCTGAGAGAAGAGAAAACCATTCACTCATTCAACAAACATCCACTGAGCACTGGGATGCCAGCTGGGAGCGGGGCCTATGGGGATGGAATGACCCAGCCCTGCCCTGTGCCCACTCTTGTGTGTCTCTACTTTCACCGAGTCTAAGCAGCCTGCCAAAGGTCTCCCCAAAAGAACCACTGCCACTCAATCATAGCCACCATGCATGCGGGGTTCACCCCATGCCGGCTTCATTCTGAGCGCTTTACCTAGATGATGAATTCTCACCACCTGCGCTACTTTACAGGTAAGGTGACCGCAGCTCAGAGAGGCTGAGTAGCTTCCCCAGGATCACACAGCTGGGGAGTGAAGGAGCCCACACTCGCCACCCCAAACTGCCTCTCTACATGCACAAGCCTTCTCTGAGGATCCTGAAGGTGAGACGTGGGAAGGGACTGACACACATTCCACAGAATCGGAGGTTTCCAAGTCCTCTCAGGGGGGTTTCCAAGTCCTCTCATCAATATCCCTCCATCTAGCCCCCTCAGGCTGTCTCTGGGTCCCCCTTCCTTCTGCCCAGATCCCTGCAGTGCCCACCCCACCCTCTGCAGCAACAAATTTCTCTTCCTTCCGGAAAGCAGTGGCTGATATGCCCAACCTACCATGGCG
Organism: Homo sapiens; assembly: GCF_000001405.40. Lineage (NCBI taxonomy): Eukaryota > Metazoa > Chordata > Mammalia > Primates > Hominidae > Homo > Homo sapiens. The sequence goes on from NC_000022.11 coordinate 37,448,292, forward strand.
GCCTCCACAGAAAGCCAGGCCCTCTCACTCCCCGTGAGCAGTCAGGGCTGCTAAGAACAAACATTTTTCCCCTTTGTCACATAGAGTAATAGACTCTTGAAAAATCACATTCTGGGAGGCTCATGGCTGAATCTTATAATCTGAGACTCTCCATCAAAGAACCTCAGAGCCACCGACTAATAGAATCTCGAAGTCAGTGACTGGAGAATCCTACGATGCTGCACTCTCTCCATCACTGACTGGACAACAGCTGGTGTCACAGAGCAGGGCAGGCAGGGAGGCTGAGGGATCGGGGGGGCAAGAAAAGCCTTGGGGTACAGAGGACAGGGTGGGGTGCTGGAGGGAGGCCCAGCCTGTTGTCATGCTGGAGGAAGCAGTTGGTGGGTGAGGCCTGGCTTTGTTACTGATGGTTTTTAATTATGTAAATCAGCCCAGGGCCTGCGCCTGGCACAGGCTTGGCATTCATCAGCTGGCAGCAGAATTAATCAATAAACAACCAGCTGGATGGGCCTGGGCATGAACACCCAGCCACGCCCCCACCACCCCTCCAGAGGGGTCCTCCCAGGTGGGCAGGGGAGGAGCTACACGGAAGCTGCCGCTCCCGGCTGTCAGTGCAGTTGCACACACGCACGCACATGCACCTTGCGTGCGTCGGCAGCTTGGACTCACTGTGCATATGCACAGGTGAACACACCTGCACATACAGAGAGGTGTGGCATACAAAGCACGCACTCAGACCCTCCGCCCCCGCAGCCCAGCACACATGCAGGAATACAGCCGTAAGAGGCGAGGGCCTCGTTACAGCCTCACATTTCACAGCTCACAGCCACGCCATTCCCCTCTACAACCCGCCCTGGGAGGCTGGCTGGGATGGGCTGGGCTGGGCTGAAGCCCTCGTTTTACAGATGAGGAGACTGAGATCTAGAGAAGGGACTTGCCCAGCATCCTCCCCAGGGGTCCTTCCTCCCAACCCACCTCACTCCAAGGTACAAAGGGGCTGCAGGCCCAAGAGAACTGAGGAAGGAAAGTGAGAGGCACAGGCGCTGGTGGCCCCAAAGCTTCTGAGGCAAGGTCCCCTCCCTGAAAGCAGGGCCCTTGGTGACCTGGCAGAGAACAGGGCAGGACAGGTGACCCAGTGGGGGCACAGGCGGGGGCCGGGCAGGAGCAGGCGGTGGAGCTGGGCACCAAGGCCCTCTCTGCTCTCCAGGGAGCCATGATGGATGGCTGCCTCCCAGCCAGCGTGCTCACTCCTGCTCCCAGGGCTGCCCCATAAATCAGCTCCCTCATCTCTGCCGTGGCTGTTCCTTGATCGCTTTTCAGCATCGAGGGGAGAGGGGGAAGTTCACCATCCCTAGCGGCAGGAGGGGGCTAGCAGCGAGGATCATAAAATTAATAGAAAGCTTTTCTCTTCCCCTTTTTGCCTTCTCTCAGCTTCCAGCTTTCTGCCAGCCTCTACCCCTCTCTGGCTGGGTCTCACTAAATACTGAGTGAGGAAATAGGACCTGAGGCGTGGATGAATCTCCGAGACATCTAGCACTGTGTGTCTCTGTCGCAGCCTCAGCCACGGGGTTTCCTAGCAGCCCCCAAAGACAAGGAGAGGAAGCAGGAAGGTGTCCTTCCTGGTCCGAGCAGATCTCAAGTAGCTCTGGAAGGAGGCCAGGAAAGGGCCTTGAGTGCTAGGGACCCCTTTTAGAGATCAGCCTTTTGGAGCCCCCCACCCCTTGGAGAAGCTGATGAAGGCTGTGGGTGTCTGTGAAGGCCCTGGGAACTCGACGCCACACAGCGCAGCAGTCAGTAGTTCAGCCTCTGCGGCCAGCCTCCCCAGTCCAATTTCAGGCTCTGCCCCATAGTAGCTGTTTCACCATGGGCAAGCTGCTTCCCCTCTCTGTGCCTCAGTTTCCTCATGTGCAAAGCAGGGTGAGTTACAGGACCTGCATCCTAATCAACAGATACATATTCTTTAGAAGAGTCACTGGGGATTATAGAGTTAAATGCTCTAAATATTATCAAGTGTTATCATTATTAAAGACACTGGCTCTCAGATCTTCGTGTTCATTCGCTGGAGGCTTTTCAAACCCTGATTGCTGCCCCCTGAGTTCCTGTCTCAGTAGGCCTGGAGAAGGGCCCAAGGTTGCATTTCTAACAAGTTACTGGCTGATGCTGGGACACTGGTCCAGGGGCCACACTCAGAACCCACTAGAGCCCATGTTGGTGTCGCTGATCCAGCTCAGCCCCCTCACCACTCTACATCTTAAGAACTGAGGCCCAGAAAGGTGAGCTTGTGCCCAAGGCCACACCCAGTAAGGGTGGCCTAGGCCTCAGTCTACCACGGGGAGGGGTTCTCAGCAGGAAGTCGGAGGAGGGGATCTGGAGGTGGAGGCGGCTCCATCATGGCCACCACCCGCCCTCCTTCCTCCCCGATTCCCCCCAAACCAGCTCCAAGAGCAAAGAGGCAGAATTTGCCTTCCTGGCCAGAGGTAATCTTTTAATCTCTTTGGCTTTAATCTTGCAGCCCAACATAAACCCAAATCTGTACAGGGGAAGGAAGGGGGTGGGAGATACAGATCTCCTTTCCTGGGGAGGGGGTAATCTAGGCTTTGCCTTTCACTTTGCCACAGATCTCCCATACCATTTCCACCTTCCCCACTCCTGCTTCTGGGAGCACTGGGCTGGGAGGCAGATCCAATAGGGCATGAGGAGGCAGAGAGAGCAGCCAGATGGGGTGAGGCAAGGGAGATTCACTTGTTAAAAGGAATCCACTTTGATAGGCAAAGCTTGCTTAAACAAGACATGAAAAGCATTAGACATAAAAGGAAAAAATTACAAATTGGGCTTCCTTACAATTAAAAACTTATGTTCAGCAAAATACACCATCAAGAGAAAGAAAAATCAATCCACACATGCAGAAAAGATATTTCAGTACATATATCTGAGAAAGGACTAGTAGCCAGCATAAATAAAGGACTCCTACAAATCAATAAGAAAAAAAAACAATTTTTAAGTGGGCAAAAGATATGAACAGGCACTTCACAAAAGAGAGTATCAAAATGCTCAATATATACTTGAAAAAGACACCAACCATGAGCAAGCAGCAGAGATACACAACTTGAAATTACCTCAAGCTGTCATTCACACTCGCCAGACTGGCAACATTTAAAAGAACAAAAACATCAAATGTTGGAAGGATGAGGATCAACTTTCTTATACAGTGAGTGGGAGTGTAAATGGTTCAGCCACTTTGAAAAACTGTTTGGCAGTTTCTTCCTGCTATGGTTTGAAGGTATGTGTCCCCTCCAAAATTCATAGTTGTCAATATGAGAGGACTAAGAAATGAGACCTTTAGGAGGTGAGGAAGCCATGAGGGTGGAGCCCTTCTGGATGGGAATCATGCTTTTATAGAGGAGGTTCAAGGGAACTGTTTGTCCCTTTTTGTCCCTTCCACCATGTGAGGATGTAATAAGAAAGCCCAGGCCCTCACCTGACACTGAATTTGCAGGCATCTTGATCTTGGACTTCCCAGCCTCCAGAACTATGGGAAATACATTTCTCTTATATGAATTACCCCATCTCAGATATTTTGTTGTAGCAAGAGGAAGGGACTAAGACGCTGAAAAAAACTAAATAAACACCTATTCTATAACCTAACCATTCCACTCCTAGGTATTTACACAAGATAAATGAAAGCAGGCCAGACACTGCGGCTCACACCTGTAATCCCAGCACTTTGGGAGGCCAAGGCACAAGGATCACTTGAGGCCAGGTGTTTGAAATCAGCCTAGTCAACAGAGTAAGATCCCATCTCCACAAAAGAAACGTAAAAAGAAATTAGCTGGGTGTGGTGGTATGCGCCTGTAGTTCCAGCTACTCAGGAGGCTGAGGTGGGAGGATCGTTTGAGCCCAGGAGGTCGAGGCTGCAGTGAGCCAAGATTGTGCCACTTGTCACTGCACTCCAGCCTAGGCAACAGAGTGAGACCCTGCCTCAAAAAAAGAAGAAGAAAAAGAAGAAATGAAAGCATATGTGTACACAATGAATGCAAATTCTCACTGACTAATTTTAGTCCCAAACAGAAAACAACCCAAATGTCCATCAACAGGTGAATGAATAAACAAATTCTGGTCTATCCCCACAGTGGAGTTCCAGTCAGTGATAAAAAAAAAAAAAAAAAAAAAAAAAAAAGGATCAATTCCAGGCCCGGCGCTGTGGCTCACGCCTGTAATCCCAGCACTTTGGGAGGCCAAGGCAGGTGGATCACAATGTCAGGAGATTGAGACCAGCCTGGCTAACACGGTGAAACCCCATCTCTACTAAAAATACAAAAAATTAGCCAGGTGTGGTGGCAGGCACCTGTAGTCCCAGCTACTCAGGAGGCTGAGGCAGGAGAATAGCATGAACGCGGGAGGCGGAGTTTGCAGCGAGCTGAGATCATGCCACTGCACTCCAGCCTGGGTGACAGAGCAAGACTCCGTTTCAAAAAAAAAAAAAAAAGGATCAATTCCTGACATACAAACCACAACCCGGATGAATCTCACAAGGCTTATGCTAAGTCCAAGAAGCAAGAGAACGCACTTTATGAATCTATTTATTTGAGGTGTAAGAACAGGAAAAACCAATTTCTAGTGATAGGGATTAGAAAAGTGGTTACCTTTGTGGAATGGGAGGTCAGTGACTGGGAAGGGACACAAAAGGAAACTTTTTGGGGTTTTGTTTTTGTTTTTTGGTTTTTGGTTTTTTTTTTGAGATGGAGTCTGGCTCTGTCGCCCAGGCTGGAGTGCAATGGTGCAGTCTCAGCTCACTGCAAGCTCCGCCTCCCCGGTTCAAGTGATTCTCCTGCTTCAGCCTCCCAAGTAGCTGGGATTACAGACGCCCAGCTAATTTTTTGTATTTTTAGTAGAGGTGGGGTTTCACTGTGTTGGCCAGGCTGGTCTTGAACTCCTGACCTCAGTTGATCCACCTGCCTCATCCTCCCAAAGTGCTGAGATTACAGGCATGAGCCACCATGCCCAGCCAAAAGGGACCTTTTTGGAATGCTGGGCATGTTTGATAAATGTATGTATATCATCGAACTAAACACTTAAAACCCATGCATTTTCTTTGCTTTTCTGTATGTACACTATACCTCAGTTGTTGTTTTTTTTTTTAAGTTAAAGTAAAAAAGAAAAGGCACAACATTAGGAAATGCACTCAGGCCATCCCCCACCCCCTCAGGAATAAAGGACGCAGGGACCCAGCCCAGCTCTGCCGCGTGTGACTTCCACCTCATTCTTTAGCCTCCCTCAGCCTCTGCATCTCCACAGTCTCCCCATCTGTAAAACGGGGATGAAAATTTCTGCCCACCCTACCCAATGTGGAGAGGACCAATGGGAAAATGGAGGCGAATGTCCCTTCATGATTAAATGTTCCCTCTCATTGTCACAACCCTCATGGCACTCTCCCAGGGCCCAGCAGAAAGGGTGAGGAGCCAGGAGCATGGGCTTGGTCACTGGCCCTGCCGCAGAATCTCAGGAAGCCATTCCAGGCGGCCTGCCACCTGCGGGTCACCGCATCTGCAAGACCCCAGGGTCCCTCTATCCTGACCTCCCAGGTGGACCACCCAGACCTGCCAACTCAGAGCGATGCCTGCAGTGCCAGATGACTGTACTGCCACTGCTATCGCCACAGCTCCTCTCGGAACATACCTGCAAGGCACAGAGCCCCATGCCTGGCAGCCTTCTCCTTCTCTCCTTAGACCCCTCCATGACTGTCCAGCAGTCTTGGAGAACCTGCCTCCCCAGGAAAGCAGAACCTCCCTCCCCAAGGCTGGAACTGCCACAGGATACTAAAGGAGAAATAAAACCCCGAACTTGCAATCAGCTGAAGGGGTGGGTTTCCAGTGCTCGCCTGTGGGACTCCTTCCCCCTCACCTATCTGGCTGTTTGAGCTGAAACAGTCACAGCACTTGGAAAAATAGACAGGTTGTACCTTGCGGTGCACAGGAGTCTACTGCGTGCTGTGGCAGAGACTGTGGGGGGCCCCTACCATATCCTGTCTCCCACCTGCCTTAGCAACAAACACTTGGATGGCAATGTGCCTGGCCAAAAGGTTCCGTTTCTCAGCCTCCCTTGCAGCTAGGAGTGGCCACTGAGGGCCAAGTGTAAGCTGTCAGGTGGGACAGAAGGGAACATTGGGGCCAGTGTGTGCCCAGTCCCTGCTGAAAGTTAGACGTGATGATGGAGGCCCAGCAGCCATCTTGGATCATGAGGTGACCTTGAGGATGGAAGCTGGCTGCTAAGGCGGGTGGGACTGAAAGAGAGGAGCCTGGGTCCCTGAAGACACCATTGGGGCCCCCACCAACCCAGGACGCCTACCCCCGACGTGTTAGGTGAGAGAGTGAGAAGTCTGGATATGGTTTAAACCACTATTATCAATATTTCCAGCCTCTGTTCTCAGCAAAGGGAAATAAGCCCTGACTGATACCCAAACCCCGTGAGGTAGATACCACTGTACAACCCCTGCCCCTTGCACCCCCGTTTTACAGATGCACCCCCAGCCTCCCTTCCTCCCTCTGTGATGTCCGTGATGCCCAAAAGACCAGCATTCCATTCCCAGCCCCCTGACGCTGTGAGTCAGCCTCTGCCAGACCTGGAGTGGGCCCCACGGCTGCAATGTCAACAGTGCTCCATGCAGATGGCTGCGGCTCGAGCTGGTGACACGAGCGCTGTTGAGAAAGCAAAGTGCTGTCATGGACAGCGTGCCCTGCTGTAGAGATCAAGGGGAAGCCGGAGAATATTTACAAACCACAGAGAACAGACACACGAAGTGAATACCAGTTGGGTATAGTAAAAGCCTCTTTTAAACCTGTCCTACTCTTTCTTTGCCATGTGAAATCAAGTCGCTGGCAAGAAGCTCTCCGGTAAGACTAAGGTTTGCGGCTCTGCTGCAGGAAACACCATGAATTCCACACTGTGACCACGTGCGGGGCTGCCCTGCAATGCAGGGCACAGTGGCTGGGTACTTGGCAAGGACCCTAGACTGCCTGGGCTCACATCCCTGCTCCGTGAACTGGTTAATCTCAGGGCAAATTACTTCACTTCTTTGTGCCTTAGTTTCTTCATCTGTGAAATGGGCAACAGAGGGCGGCTGATCTGGGAAGAGCTTACAGCGGTGCCTGCTACACAGGAGGGGCTATTAAGGATCAGCACCATTCTCAGGTTCACGGTGAGAACCTAATTTCCTTATTGTCTGTTTGTTATAGGAAACTGAATTTACTCACCAGCATTGGAACATTCCATCTGCTGAGTCACACTCACTTCTCTTATCATCATTAACCCTGCGTAGGGGCTCCTGGCGCCAGAAGGAGCAACCCAAAGCTCTTCGTCTTGGTGAGGTTGATGCAAGTAAAAATAAGTGGTGATTATAAGTGATTCACTTGTCAAACGCAAGGTCAAGGGTCCCAATTTGTACATGTCTCTAAGGCAGCATCAAGAAGCTCCCCACATCCCAAACTGTCTCCCCTCTGACACTAGTGGAAATTTCACTATCAGAGCCAGAGAACTCCGAGGAGGAGAAGCAATTTCAGAGCACAGCGTCTTAGAGTAAATGAACATATCGAGGTCAGCTGGGGGGCTGCGAATCATGGCAAGGAAAGGGAGGGAAGGCCAGGGGCAAGTATTTGGACCCTCTCAGGGTGGTTGAGGATTCTGCAGCCACTAAAGGCGCACACACACATACGCGTGCGCGCGCGCGCACACACACACACACACACACACGCTGGTAATCGCTTTACCCCAGCAGTAGGGGCTTAAGCCTCTATCTAGGCTAGCCCCACCCCCGCCCCCTGCTGCATTAGCCACCTCTGTCCCAAGGCAGGATCCCCAGAGGTTCAACAAGGAAACCCTGCAGGGCTGGAAGCCGAATGCAATAGAGAGTTAGCAGCCACCAGTGGTCACACCCAACTCACACACATACACACTCACTCATGCACTCATACACACAGACAACACACTAGACTCAGACACCCACCGAGCTGTCTTCCCAAAGTCATGACAAATCCAGAGAGAGGTCCACAGAATTGTCCTATCCCAGAGAAAGCCACAGAAACACAAGTAGCTGGCACTGAGATACTCACACTCTGCCCCTGGGATCTCTCTGCCTGGGTGCCCCCGTTCCTGCCCCTGAACGGACAGACATTCTGCCCGGGGGGAGCCAACCCCAGTCAGGGTTTCCTCTCCCCACCTCTCCTTTCCCAGGTACGCAGGCCCCCAGTACGTTTTCGCCTTCTGTACCTCCTCCATTCGTGCCCCTCCTCGCCCGGGGACTGTGAGTACCCAAGAACAAGGACAGTCTGCCATTTTCCTGTGACCTCCCCAGCCCCCATGGCAGGAGCCGCAAACCCCCGCGACCCTTCTCGTAGGGTTCACGCCTCATCCCAGCTCCTCGGAGAAGCTGGCGGCTCTTCTCATTTTCCAGTGAGTGCGTGAAAATACAGATTAAACCAATTAGGGAAAAGTCATCAGAGGGCAAGGCGAGAGCCACCACTGCACCTAATCGTCAGCTCCAGCAATGCACAATGAGACAGACTCACAGATTACAAATGCACACAAATTCCGAAGTAGGAAGGGGGTGGCAGGATGGGGGCAGGCGAGCTCCATTTTAGATTCCCTTGTTTTTGTTTAGATGGCTTTCCTCTGTTGGCAACACACTTCCACCTTCATGCTCCCAGGAAAAGCAGGTAGGGTGGGAATGATTGCAGGAGGGGAACATGAGGCCCAAGGGACTGGTAAAGGACAGTTGCAGAAGGCCCGGGCCACCCAGACTGGTCTTCTCCTGGCTGGGCTGGAGGTGGGGATATGAGGGCCAGTCCCCAGGAGAGCCCCATTGGCCTGAAGGTCTGCTCTCTGTCCCACTCCTCTCCCTACAAAGAACCAGCATGTGCCTGAGAGGCAACCTTGCCCCTCACCAAATGGCAGGATTATTTAACTGATGGCTGCTGTCCCCCAGATGGTCATGTTTGTTAAATCTGGTAAGGAGACGTGCTGTGTGCTTTTCTTCCCCCTGGCTGGGGAGGATTTTCTTAGAATCTGAGTGCAAGGGGCCCACTTTCGTGCCCTTTTATCCCATAGGGCCCCTCCCAAGCCTAGCCTGGTCCCCTCAGTGGCACCCCAGTCATCTTAACCTTCCAGCCAGGCCTGCCTTGCCCTGGGCCAGGTGAGAAGCCAGTGGTGATGCATGAGTGCCCCCTGCTGGTGATGTTCTGCACTGTCCACTGGGACTCCTACCCCGGATCCAGCCAGGTAGCAGCATTCCCCACACACACCTCCAGGACTGCCTGGCTGGGTGAAGGAAAGGGTGGGCACCTGTGGGAGGAGCACAGAGCCCTAAGAATGTGCTTCATAAAGGCCCAAAGAAGCTGGGAACAGCTCCATTCCTGTTCCAGCAGCAGGGGGTGTGACTGTGGGTGGCAGGTAGACACTGAGCATTTTCCAGCAGGGGGCAAGGGAGGGTGCCTGTCATTGCGTATGGACTGTCAGAGAGACTTAGCATATGTGGGAGGGAGGAAGAAAGGAATGAGTGAATGAAGGAATGAATGAACTCATTATTTCCTAAAAGGTCATGTGAATAACACTAGTAAACTATCAGGGTAATTTTTAGATAATAGCGATGAACTTCTTTAAGAGTTATGTATCTAGTTTGATTGTATCTGATCCATCAGATTCATTAATATTTAAAACGAATGTCTTTAGATACAAAAGGGTCCATGTAAAGAAAGACATTAGGTAAATAACATGTATGTACTCTCAGCTCCTAGCGTGGGTATTCAATAAATGCTAGTAATGAATGAAGAATAAACAAATGCATGTACAGCTGACAAGGCAGATCATGGATGATCATTATAGGGCAGTAGGTCCCACACTTAGCTGTACCTTGCCATCACCTGGGGAGCTTTAAAGATTATCTCTGGGTGACTCTGTGTCTCTGAATCTCAGGGGGCTGGGGAGGAAGATGGTGCACCCTGGACAACCCTCAGAGGAGGAGAAAATCACCGGCTCCCAATTTGGGCAGCGAATCAGAAGCAGCATGGATTCACTGCCTTTTGAAATAGTGAAACTACCGTCATTGGAGAAAGGCGAACTGTGGTTAGGCGACCTGGGATTCCTCCGCTGGGAGAGAGGTTGAACTAGGTGAACTTGAAGGTTTCATGCAAGGAAAGAGAAGTTAGCTGATATTTATGTAGACCAGCTTCTAGATTGACACTAAGTACAAAGCTAATGTGTATTTACTATGGCTTTAATCTATACTGATTAAGAATGTCTCATTTATTCACCTGCACCTCATGTTTTACTTGGCATGTATCTTTATTATAGTTAATATAAATATCACATTAGCTGCTTACAGAACATATAGAATTTGCTGTCCTGAGTTTATTTACAAGTTAGTACCTCATTTATGAGACTTTTTACCCCTTGAGAACATCCGCCTTCTTCTTGAAAACTGTGACTGGTTCATTATAAACATATATTCGTATAATGGAGTTAATGGGGTTATCATCTGTTTATCTCTTTTAATTAGGCCCTGATTTGCCCAAACAATTTCAGTTACTTTCTTGATTACAGTTGGAGGAGCATGTGGTTTGGTGTGGGCTTGGTAAAGAGCTGCTGTCTGCTTCTCTAAATCCACGTATAGTATCATATGTTCAGGCTGAGTTAATATTTGATATGTGAGTTGTTCCCTTATCTTGTTAGATACTCTTGATAAAAGAATTCCCACTCATGAATTTTCATGGATATACCTCTGGAAAGGAATTGAGAAAAATAAATGTTGTGCTATTTGGAAAGGTTGGGAGACACGTTGCAATCGAGTCTGAGTTTTGATATCAGCTTAATGGTATTCGAATAGTAGCTTTTTTTTTTTAGCTTTGAGCGGATTTTTAAAACATAAAGCATGAATAGATTTGTCATAGTGCAGGGTCAAAATTAGTTCTGTTGATGGCAAGTTATGCAATATTAATTGTTTTATGAACAAAATGCAATTAAGTTGCAAATCCCTTGACAGAGTGCAATGTTAGGCCAATGTTTTCATCAGTATGAGGAAATGTCAGATTAGCTTCCCCAGGGAAGACGAAATCTTTGGCACGATGCCGAAAACATACGTGTTTGTTTTATAGCCGCGCCATGCTCTCTTACATGACTGGTGGGAATAAAAAGGAACACATTCACTCTCAAGGACAATTGGACAGCGTCTACCGAAATGATAAATACACCTTCTTTTTTTTTTTTTTTTTTTTTTTGGAGATGGAGTCTCACTCTGTCACCTAGGCTGGAGTGCAATGGTGCGATCTTGGCTTACTGCAACCTCCGCCTCCCGGGTTGAAGTGATTCTCCTGCCTCAGTCTCCTGAATAGCTGGGATTACAGGTGCACACCACCACGCCTGGCTAATTTTTTTTGTATTTTTAATAGGGACACGGTTTCACCATGTTGGTCAGGCTGGTCTTGAACTCCTGACCTCGTGATCCACCCGCCTCGGCTTCCCAAAGTGCTGAGATTACAGGCGTGAGCCACTGCGCCCGGCCACAGATGCACCTTCTCTTTAATCCACCAATCCTCCAATATACTCACATCTGCACTTAATAACACGTGTATGAGAAAATTCACTGTAGCATTGTTTGAAAAGCACATGATTGGGAAAACCATCCAAATGCCCATCCATAGAGGACTGACTGGTCAATAGAAAACTGTACATCTATTACGTGGAATACCATGAGGCTGTCAAAAAAAAGAATGAGGACTCAACAACAACAACAAAACCACCTGAATAAAAACTGGGCAAAAGAGTTGAATAGACATTTCTCCAAAGAAATTATACAATGGGTGGCCAATAACACCTGCAAAGATGTTCAACATCCCTAATCATTAGGGGAATGCCAATCAAAACCACAATGAGGTGCCACTTCATACCCAAGACGATGGCTATTTTAAAAAAGAAAAACAGGCAAGTGTGGTGGCTCACGCCTGTAATCCCAGCACTTTGGGAGGCTGAGGCAGGCGGATCACCTGAGGCCAGGAGTTCGAGACCAGCCTGGCCAACATAGTGAGACCCTGTCTCTACTAAAATTGCAAAAATTAGCCAGGTGCGGTGGCACTCACCTGTAGTCCCAGCTACTCGGGAGGCTGAGGCAGGAGAATCACTTGAACACAGGAGGTAGAGGTTGCAGTGAGCTGAGATCATGGCACTGCACTCTAGCCTGGGTGAAAGAGTGAGACTCAGTCTCAGGAAAAAAAAAAAAAAGAAAAGAAAATAATTGTTGGCCATGATGTGGAGAAATTAGAACACTTGTGCATTGCTGGTAAGAATATAACATGATGCTCTCCTATGGAAAACAGTACAGCAGGTCCTCAAAAAAATTAAACATAGAATTCCCATATGATCTAGCAATTCTGGCTATATGCCCTGAAAAACTTGAAAGTGGGGACTTAGACAGATATCTGTATACCCACGTTCATACCAGCATTATTCGCAATAGCCAAAAGATGGAAGCAAGCCAAATATCCATTGACATGAATGCAGGAGCAAACTGAGACATATCCATTCTATGGAATAGTATGCTGCCATAAAAAGGAATGAGGTGCTGATATATGCTACAAACATGGATGACCCTTGAAAACATTATGATTAAACATTACAAAAAAGTTGTGGTGATGGTCACACAACATTGTGAATAAAATCAATGCCACTGAATTGTACACTTAAAAGTGGTTAAAGGCCAAGCACAGGAGGATTGCTTTGGCAGGAGGATCGCTTGAGCCCAGGAGTTCAAGACGAGCCTGGGCAAAATGGCAAGACCCTGTCTCTACAAAAAAAAAAAAAAAAAAATGTAGATTTAAATTAGCCAGGGTGTGGTGGCATGCCCCTATAGTTCCAGCTACTCAGGAGGCTGAGGTGAGAGAATGACTTGAACCCAGGAATTCAAGGCAGCAGTGAGCTCTGATTATGCCACTGCACTCCAGCTTGGGCAACAGAGTGAGACCTCGTCTCTTTAAAAAAAAAAAAAATGGTTAAAATGGTTAAAATGGTAAATTTTGTTATATATATTTTAATGCAATTTTTAAAAATTAATAATGTCATTTTTTAAAGCGTGGAAGTCTAGGGCCGGGTGCAGTGGCTCACACCTGTAATCCCAGTACTTTGGGAAGCCAAGGCGGGTGGATCACCTGAGGTCAGGAGTTCAAGACCAGCCTGGCCAAGATGGTGAAACCCTTTCTCTACTAAAAATACAAAAATTAGCCAGGCATGGTGGTGGGCGCCTGTAATCCCAGCTACTCAGGAGGCTGAGACAGGAGAATCGCTTGAACCCGGGTGACAGAGGTTGCAGTGAGCCAAGATCGTGCCACTGCACTCCAGCCTGGGTGACAGAGCAAGACTCTGTCTCATAAAAAAGAAAAGCAAAGAAATCCATAATGTATCCTCCCCAAGGATTCTCCACTGTCCCCTTCCTGTTTATTTCCTTCATCACCCCATCGTCTCTGAAATTCCTGCTTGTTTGCACCTGCTTGATGTCTGTCTCTCTGTGTTTGTCAGGACAGGCTAAGTGCTGCAACAAACACCCCAAAATTTAGGGCCTCAACTCAACACTAGTATGTTTCTGCTGCTTGCAACAGTTCAGTGCCACTATTTGGTGAACAGACTTCCTCCTGCTGTTTCGGGTCCTGGGCCCCTCCCGCCTCCAGGCTCTGCCCTTCTTGCACCCAGAGGCTTCTCTCACCAGCCAGGGAAGGAGACGAAAAGAGATCACCTCATGGGGGAGGGCTTTATGGGCCAGCCCTGCAAGTGGGGCACATCCATCAGGCAGAACTCAGTCACATGGCCACCCTTACTGCAAGGGAAGCTAGAAACGTCGCCCAGCTGGGGGCTCAGGAGAAAAAGAGGAGGAGCCATGTCTGCCTACTCTCCCAGTATCAGATCCCAGGGTGCTAGCTCTCATCCACCTTATTGTCCGTGTCTGGCACTGTAACTGGCATATAATGGGTCTTCAGCAAATGCAGAGTCTATGAGTAAATGAATGGTGCTCAGGCTGGGTCCTGGGAACCAGGCCAGGTGGGCACTTTCCTAGTACATGCTGGGGGGCGGGGCAGGGATAGAGGGAGGGATGCAGTCACTCCCAGTTCTCAGATCAGGAAACCGAGGCTCTGAGAGTGAAGCCACATGCACAAGGCCACGCAGCTTGTCAGTGCCAGTTCTCAAATGCAGGAAGCCTCTGCCACCAAATGTCTGTTCTCTCCACTCCCCTGGCTGCCTCTCTAACACGCACACTGACTGGACTCAGGGTCTGGTTATCTTCAAGGCTGCTCTCCTTTCTAACAACCAATGAACCATGTTTGACAAGCTGCAGGTGGCTTGAGGCGGCGGCTGTATCTCTCTCTCATCCCTACATGCCCTGTGGCTACCAGCACAGCCCTTGAACACAGTAGGTGCTCAAACCATGTTTGGGGGATTAATCTGTTCACACAGGCTCAGGCTTCATGCTTTGCTGCTTGCACAGTATGGGGGTCACTTACAACTTATAAAAGAGATCGAGGGGATATTTATTATACGGCCCCTCCCTGTGCAGTCGAAGCTGTCTCTGCAGCGAGACCATTGTCCTCCCTGAAACTTGCTCCCGAAGCAGGGACCGGGGCTGCGTCATGTGGGGGTCAAGACCACAGGTGTCACCTGGCCCCCATCAGGATTAGACTGTGGATCCCTTTCACATACAGAGACTGACCTTCCTTGCCCCCAGCTAGTCAGTCCCAGGAAAGAGAGTCGATGGAAGCGGCAGTGTGGCTCTGTCCGCGGTGCTGAACTATCCTCTAACTCCCTCACCTCCTTCTGTAACCCAGCAACTTACGACCTCCTGGGTGGGGGGCAGGTAAAAATACAGATTCCCTGGCCCTTTCTTTAAAGATTTGGGTTCTGAGGGTCTAATATGGAGCCCTGGGATCTGTTTTAACCAACTATCCTAACTGCTTGTGATTCTATCCAGCCATTTTGGTACTGGACTGAGTTTGAACACTGACCTCAATAATCAGCTGGTCTTCATGGAGTGCCTGCTATGTACCCAGCACTGTGCCAGATACTGTAAGGCACAGAGCTGCATCAGGCAGGGTAGACGTGGGGAGGGAGGGAGAGAGGCAGCCCCTTCTGCTTTGTGTAGACACAGCACCAGGCACATACCTGGCCTTTATCCTGCAAGATGAGATACATAGGCATGTGAGAACGGTAGTTATCATAACCATAACCAGCATCTGTATCTTTCCTTGGAGTCTCCACGGCCCTATCTGCAAGGCACAGTATGACACATTCTGCTCCTTCAGATCTCGTGGCCTAGGACCCAGACACAACGCCACTTCACACATCAATGTGCCTGATTCCTCCCGCCCTGAACCCCCCAGAATGTAGTCCTCCCTCCCTGCACCATATGGTTGCTGATTATCGTTGTTTACATGATGTGCTATGTTTTCTTTTTTCTTTTTTTTTTTTTTTTTTGAGATGGAGTCTCACTCTGTTTCCTGGGCTGGAGTGCAGTGGCGTGATCTCTGCTCACTGCAATCTCCACCTCCCGGGTTCAAGCGATTCTTCTGCCTCAGCTCCCTGAGTAGCTTGGATTACAGGCATGTGCCACCACGCCCAGCTAATTTTTGTATTTTTAGAAGAGATGGGGTGTCACCATATTGGCCAGGCTGGTCTCGAACTCCTGACCTTGTGATCTGCCCGCTTCGGCCTCCCAAAGTGCTGGGATTACAGGTGTGAGCCACTGCGCGGCCGCTATGTTTTCAATCATGTCCCAACTGGGATTGGGACTCCCTATTGAGGGCAGGGCTTGCACCTGATTGTCCCATGTAGCATCTGACACAGGGACCCATCCCATCCCCACTTCCACCTCCCTGACCCCTGCTAGAGGAGGCGAGCAATTATTGGAGGATGAGTAGGGAGAGGAATGTGCCCAGGGGAAGTGCTCCTGGGTTACACAGCAGCTGAGACAAGTGCTCAGAACCCAAAGAAATCAGGGTGGGCCTCTGGGAAACCAGGCAACAGGCCAAATGCAAATCAGGCAGGAGCCAGAGTTGAGTCAAGGCCTGGCTTTCCTTTCTCCGGGTGTTTGGGGCTAACAGGAAGTGGGGCCAGGACAGCTGTGCCTGGTAAAAACAGATGTTCTCTGGGCCTGAATGTGGGGCGTGGAGGAGGGGGGAGCTGGAAGGAGAGGGCCACAGCCAGAGAAATGAAATATGCACAGACCGACTTTTATTTATTCCATTTTACTTTTATTATGGAAAGTCTCAAACCCCTACAGAAGTAGAGGGACTGGTATGAGGCACTCCCACGCACCCATCACCCAGCTCTAACTGCCATACCCACTTTGCCATTCTCATTCCATTCCTCCCTCAAGCCCCTTTTTAACAAAAATGTCAGACATCAGATCATTTCACCCATTAATATTTCAGAATGTATCTCTCACACACTAGCACATTTCTAAAAATAAGCCCAACATCATCACCATACCTAATAAAATGAACCATTCCTTAAGATCCTCTAATATGCAGTCCATCTTCAAATTTTCTCATTTTCCTGAAAAATGCCTTTTTAGGGTTCGTCTGCTTGAATAAAGATCTAAACAAAGTCTCGTTGCCCAGGCTGGAATGCAGCAGCGCGATCTCGGCTCACTGCAACCTTCGCCTCAGGGTTCAAGCAATTCTCCCGCCTCAGCCTCCCAAGTAGCTGGGATTACAGGTGCCCGCCACCACGCCTGGCTAATTTCTGTATTTTCAGTAGAGACAGGGTTTCTCCATGTTGGCCAGGCTGGTCTGGAACTCCTGACCTCAGGTGATCCGCCCACCTTGGCCTCCCAAAGTGCTGGGATTACAGGCGTGAGCCATGGCACCCGACCCATACATTGCATTTTGGTACTTTATCCCTTAAATCTATTTTCCTCTCTAACAGTCTTTACTCTCTTCCTTTTTATGCCCTTTTACTTGTTGAGGAAACCAGGCCCTTCGTCATGTGAGACTGTCCTCATTGTTGATGTGGCAGACCGAACCCTCGTGGTGTCATTTAACATGTTGCACTGTCCTCCTGCTTCCTGTAGACTGGTGTTTAGGTCCAGAGGGTTGAGGTGATGTAGGGTCAATCATTCTAGCAAGCGGACTTCCTGGGAAGTGCTGTGTCCTTCCTATGGGATCACATCTGGAGCATACTAAGAACGCTTTCTGGGTGATACTAAGAAGGCTTGGTGCGTTCTGGTATTGCCAGCCTGATCCCTCCATTAGGAAGCCCCACTGCATTGCCTCAGTTATTTCAGTATCTTCCATAGCATCTTAAAACACTGACAGAGCTGGAAGAGATCTGAGAAGTCCGTTCACTTATGTTTCTGTTCGTTCCTCAGATATTTGTTGAGGATCTACTATGCCAGGTCATGAGCTGCAGGGAACAGAACCAAGGGGATCCCTGACCGTGGAGCTCACAGCCAGGTGGGAGTAGACAACAAACAAATACCTGGAAGGCAGGTCTGCAAGGGTGACAGGTTATGAGTGACTATAACAGGAGGTGATTGATGACCACCAGGTGGCTGCTGTGTGATGGGAGTGGGGAGCCTCCCTAAGAGGTGGGACATGGGAGCTTGACAAGAACAAGCCAGCTGTGCAGGAGTGAGGGTTGCAATACAAGGAGAGGCAAGAACTGGTGCTGGCAGAGAACATGACACCTGCCACAGCAAGCAAGGAGGCCATTGTGCCAGGAGCCAGTGAGCAGTGGAGAGAGGACTACAGGAGCAGCGAGGAGGCTGCTGTGATAACAGCCAAGGTGGGGAGTGGAGGTTATGGCCAGCCCAGTACCCCAACCTCTTACTGCTGATAACGTGAGCTCAGCAAGGACAGAGAGGTGCTACTTACTGAGCAACTACCCCGCATCAGGAGCTTTCTATGCAGCATCTCAAAGCCTCGCAGCCTGCTGCATAGGAGCCACTGTGCCCATTTTACAGATGAGAGGCCAGTGAACAGTGAAGCCACCTGCCTAAGGGCATAGAGCCACAGGTGGGCAGCAGGGTGGAGCCCAGGCCTGAGGAGGTTCTCCAACTCTTCAGTTGTCCCGCAGCGAGATGACCACTGCAGAGCCAGGCTGCCTCCAACCTTGGCTCTGGCACCGAGAAGACCTATGACCTGGCACAAGGACCTTCTCCCCTTCTGTGCCTCAGTTTCCCAATCTGTAAAACGGGAATAACGATTGTACCTACTTCAAATAGGTGGGAATGAAATGAATTAATTTATGTCAAGTACTTAGAACAGTGCCTGACCCCCAACATGCATTTGATGGTAGATATGTATGTTTATAGTTCTGCTGGCATCAATACTTACAGAAGGGCAAAGCTGAGATGATAGGTCACCAGCCTCCCGGGGTGGAGTCCACCTCACTCACAGCAGGAGCAGGTGCATCAATTAAAAGATTGCCAGGGCTGGGCGCGGTGGCGCACATCTATAATCCCAGCACTTTGGGAGGCCGAGGCGGGCGGATCACTTGAGGTCAGGAGTTTGAAACCAGCCTGGCCAACTTGGCAAAACCCTGTCTCTACTAAAAATACAAAAATTAGCCAGGCGTGGTGGCACATGCCTGTAATCCCAGCTACTCAGGAGGCTGAAGCACAAGAATCACTTGAACCCAGGAGGCGGAAGTCGCAGTGAGCCAAGATCATGCCACTGCACTCCAGCCTCGGTGGCAGAGTGAGACTGTCTCAAAAAAGAAAAAGGTTGCTGGGAGGAGAGGAGACCTACCTTGGGCCCCTGCACACTCCTTGCTGGGGATAGGGGCTGGTTGAGGGAGCCATAGACCCCTATAGGAGATCTCCAGGCTCCTTCTGGTGTCTGCCCCAGGCCAGGGCTCCTGTTCTGGAGTCACTCTCTGTCCCTGTTATCATGGGGGCCTACCCTCAGCCACCTAGCCGAAGGATCAGTGACCACTCATGGTCCTCAAAGTATCTCATCCACATGCACCCTAAAATGGGCAGGCAGAGCTCAGGCTAAACGGGAGGAAGCTCAGCGGCAGCTATGTGCCCAAGGGGCATGGCAAGGCCAAGACTAGGTGGTCTAACCTTGCTACCCCACCCCACACTCAGCCCCTGCCTCTGGGGTCCAGATGGGTCACTTCAGCACAGGGCACAGGGAGCTTCCTAACTTCCCAGGCAGACACGCAAAGGGTTAAACTCAGACTCCCTCCTTCCTTCATCCCAATTCTGATCCTTGCTGACTCTGCTCCCCCTCCCTACCCCCAGCTATTCTGGGACAATGGAGGCAGCAGATGGCCCGAGTCCTGTTCCCTCCACCCGACCCTCAGGATCTGGGAGCAACACGAAAATCTGCTGCCGCGTCTAAATGCGGGCCGATGAGCAGCCTTCCCTGGGTGGGGTGGGGAGGACGGCGACTGTGGATGGCACCATTCCAGCCCCACGGGGCTGCAGGGCCGGGGGCTGCCCTCACTCGACTGGCATCCCATAAACCCAGCCCTGGGCCAGCCCAGAAAGAAGCGGGGCTTTGGAGAAGCACAAGTGGCCAGTTGCACCCAACTCACTGTGTGACCACAGCATGTGGCAGTCCCTCTCTGGACCTCTCCTCCCTGGAAAACAAAGGGGCTGGCTTCAGGTGCTCAGTGGTTCCAGATGTCCCCAGCACAGATGTAGCCAGAAGACAGTTTCTGATTCTTCAAGGGTGGAGCCCCTAGCCCTGGCTCCCTGGATCAGGGCCCCTCTGGCCCTCGGGATCTCTCCTCCTCCTTCCCCATCTGAGAGCCCCACTGTGACCCCAACTCCAAGCATCACTGGGCATGACACAGACCTCCCCTCTCTAACCCTCCCCTGCCTATGTGCCACCATGCCTGAAATTTCACCATGATCACTTTCATTCATCCATCCACCTCCTTGGGATCGGAAATTCCAAGGGCACTTGCATTTATTCAGTTCCTGCCCTTGGCTGTCAAATCGCCCTTTGGCACCATTATCTGATACCTGAGGCTAAGTCCCTCAGCCCTGAGTCTCCATTCCGCCTTCCCTGATTCTCTGACCTCCCCCAACCCAGGCCCTGGGGGCAGAGAAAAGGAGGAACCACTCCACACCTCACAGCACACAGGCTCACATGTATACATCATGTACACATGTGCGACACAGCCACAAAAACACACACCACAGGCCGGGCGCGGTGGCTCACGCCTGTAATCCCAGTACATTGGGAGGCCGAGGCAGGCGGATCTCAAGGTCAGGAGATCGAGACCATCCTGGCCAACATGGTAAAACCCTGTCTCTACTGAAAATACAGAAATTAACTGGGCGCGGTGGTGCACACCTGTAATCCCAGCTACTCAGGGGGCTGAGGCAGGAGAATTGGGAGAACTGCTTGAACCCTGCAGGCGGAGGTTGCAGTGAGCCAAGATTGCGCCACTGCACTCCAGCCTGGTAACAGAGTGAGACTCTGTCTCAAAAAAAAAAAAAAAAAAAAAAAAAAACACATGGACATGTTTATGCACAGACACATGTAGAAGGTACATGCCACACACACACATACACCTGTGTACCGCCTCACACACCAGGACTCACAAACACACTAGTAACAGTCACCAGCCACTCTGCCCTTCCTTTCTCTGTGCCAGGCTCTGTAACATGGTCTTTGCACACATCATATCACACCACCAAAAGTGATCACCATCTCCACTGTGATAGACAGATAAAGACCATACCCCGTCAGGAACAATTTGGCTGCATGTAACAGAAAACTGGACCAAGAGAGACTTAAACAAATAAGCATTTAATTTTTGTACAGAACCAGATGCTGGAGGGAATAGCTGTGGATGATTGTCTTGGCCTTTCCTTCATGGTAGCAAGGTGGCTGCCCCAGATCCAGCCATCACACCCACATTTATAGCAGGAAGATGGGGAGTGGGCTGCAAAACCTTCCCCAGAAACATCTCTATTGGATTTGCTTAGTTCCCTCTGGCCAGAGCTGGTCCCATGGTAGCCCCTAACAGCAAGAAAGGCTGGGAAATGAGCAAAAAGGATCATCACAATTGGCTGGGACCCGTTATGCTCCATCATCTGGGCCCCGGCATGCTG
Organism: Homo sapiens; assembly: GCF_000001405.40. Taxonomy (NCBI): domain Eukaryota; kingdom Metazoa; phylum Chordata; class Mammalia; order Primates; family Hominidae; genus Homo; species Homo sapiens. Next base: position 37,469,389 of record NC_000022.11, read on the forward strand.
AGGCTCCAAACAAAATCTGGTCCTGTTCGCAAGGGGTGGGGAGCAAGGAGCTTTGGGAGACTGGTTGGCAACAACAGCAGGTGCTGCAGACCCTGGATTCTGCCATCATTCCACCCATGTCCCTTCAGGAACTCGGGACACAGATGAGGGAGGCAGGAGTGGGCGGCCCAGCGCTTGAGCCCCAGGGGAATGACTGAGAGACATTAGCCAGGGCCAACGGCCAGACCCCACCCAGAGGCCATGTCACTGCCTAAAGGGTTAGGACCCCTGAGCCCCAGCCCAGCTCAAGTGCCCCCTGCCCTTTTTCAATTCAGCCTCCTGAGGGAGTCTAGCCCCTGGAGCCTCTCTGGCCACCACCTGGTCCACCTGGTCCCCTGGGCTGTCTAACTCACCTCCCAGGGGCCTGGGGTGCCTTCAGTGCCAATTGCCACTCAGATCCTGGGCTTGCCAACCACCCGAAGGCCCTGCCAGGGACTGCCTATCACAAGACACTTGCCAGGGACCCACAGTGCCACCTTGGGAGCCAAGGCACACCCAGAAGTCTCTGCCCAACCTTTGCCCAGCAGTTCAGGATTCATCGGGCACCCAGCTGGGGACACCAGGGTGTATCTGGATAGAGCAGACAATGGAGGGAGCGAAATCTGCAGAGAGACCAGAAAAGGACAGGATGGTCACCCCCCACTTCTGCTCTCAGCCCACTCTCCTAGGTGCACACATGCCACAGAGGCGGTTTGGAGCAGGGTTTCTCTACCTCAACACCACTAACACTTAGGGCCAGAGAATTCTTTGTTGTGGAGCTGTCCTGTGCCTTGCGAGATATTTAACAGCATTCCTGGGCTCTACCCACAAGATTCCAGTAGCATCTTCCTGAATCATAAGAATCAAAAATGTCTCCGACATTGCCAGACGTCCCCTAAGAGACAAATCACCCCCACTTGAGAACCGCTAGTTTGGAGAAACTTCAAAAGCCAGAGAAGCCATAAAGAGACCTCAGCTGAGGCCAATCATCTGATCACATGCATCTGAATCTCTAGGTGGCTCCAGACCCATTTGGCAGTAATCTATGACTTCTAGAATCTTCAAGCTTTGAGGAAATTTAACAGCAATTCTTAAACCTCTTGTCAGTATAGCTACGGCTTACACACTGCTGACGGGGAGCTCATCCTACTAGAAGGCAGCTTCGTTCGTCTTGGAATTTTGAATTTTTGTTCCTATATCGAGCCAAATTCTATCTCCTTGTAATATCCAACTTGTTCAACGCAGCCTTGGCCGCAAGGGCCCTCAGCATCATGGGAGCCCTCTGCCCCAGGACAGGCAGCACTGCAGAACGTCAGGGCCAGGGGCCCTGGTTCCTCCAAGCATCACAAGCGTCCAGACAGAGCCTACAAAGGCCTTGGAGAGGCCCCTGCCACGTCCCCAACCAAATTTGACACCATTCCCTCCTCTTCTCCACATTCCAGTCACACAGTCTCCCGTTCCTACCTTGAGCAGGTCAAGGCCTGTCTCCTGCTATCAGGCCTTTGCATATGCTGTCCCCTCTGCGGGAGTGATCTGCCACCTGCTCTTCTCCTAGCGAACTCCTGCTAGCCCTTCAGGTCCTTCACGTTACCTCCTCACAGAAGCCTTCCCCGGCCAGCCCCTACTCCCCAGTCAACATCAGGGCTCTGACTTACTCTCCCATAACAACCTATACTGGCATACTCACCCTCATCCCCTACACACACAGTGTCCCAGACTCCCCGTCCCCCAGGACTCCCTCTGGACAAGTCTCTGTCACTCAAGTGGGCCCAGAGTTCACCTCATGCCCTCCTCTACTCGTTACCTCCCTGAGTCCCTGCTAAGTCTCCAAAGGCAGAATCAGGGCTCCTTCCCCAGTTCCCAGACCCATTGCATGTCACTACAAGGAGCAGAAATGCAAATAGAAGGGTTGGGGCTAGTCCAGCTGCCCAGAGATGGAACAGACTGCCACAGGAGGGAGGAACTCCCCATGGCTGTAGGCATGCAAGGTGAAGCCAGCCCATCAGTTGGCAGAGATGCTGGGAAGGGGTCAAGCATCAGTTCTGGGGTTGGACTGATGGGCCCAGAGTCCATGTGTCCCCTCCCCCAACTCCTCTCCACCCCCATCCCGCCACCCCTGGCCAGAATCACAAGCCATAGCTGGGCCGGGGGCAGCGGCTCATGCCTGTAATCCTAGCACTTTGGGAGGTCAAGGCAGGCGGATCACTTGAGGTCAGGAGTTCGAAACCAGCCTGGCCAACATGGTGAAACCCCGCCTCCACTAAAAACACAAAAATTAGCCAGGCATGGTGGCAGGCGCCTGTAATCCCAGCTATTCGGGAGGCTGAGGCAGAAGAATTGTTTGAACCCGGGGGGCGGAGGTTGCAGTGAGTCGAGATCGCACCACTGCACTCCAGCCTGGGCAACAGAGCGAGGCTCCATCTCAAAAAAAAAAAAAAAAAAAAAAAAAGCCACAGCTGGCAGGTGCTGGTGTGTGGAAAGGAAGCTGCATATCACAGGCTATGCTCCAAGACTGCTCTAGACCAGTCAGGAGCGGATTTGGGTGGCCCATCTCCCCGTGGCCAGTTCTGGGCAGAACTGGAAGGTGTTATTCCAACCCTTTACCTGCCTAAAAGAAGCATTTAAGAGTATCAAAGAAACAAGGAGTCCAAAAGAGATAAAATAAAAATCCCCCACCAGAGCCTGAAGTTCCACCATGAGAGCGTTGCCTGTGCTCAGGGAAGGCATTTCAGCCTTCCAGGGACTCCCAAAGAACCCCAGAGGATTGGGGCTGGGAGAGCTCTTCAGATCCATCATGGCCAGCCTCCAGGTGTTACTAATGGGAGACCGAATCCCAGAGAGGGCAAGACACTTGCCCAAGGTCACACAGCAAGCCAGTGGCAGGGTCAGAAACTGAAATCCACTCCCTCCACTCCTAGCTCTGTGCTGTCAGCCACCAAAGCCTGTCCCACTCCACTCCCTCCCAGCTCCCCCATGTTTGGATGCCTGGACTCAGCCCCCACTCCTCCCATCCAAGGTTCCAGCCCCCAGACCCACCTGGAGGGGTCCTCCTCCGGGGAGAAGGGGCCCTGTAGCTTAATGACGTTGAGTTTCCCCTCAAAGACACCGTAGCTGAGGGTGACCTGGGCAGGGAGATAGAAGAGTGTTGGGGCATCACACTGGGGATCCCCACAAGGGGGCAGCATCCTGGCACAGGTGGAGGAGGGGTTTTAAGCTGCAGGGAAAGCTGCCCGGGAACCTGAAATTCCCCGCTGGTGGTGGGAGCCCACCCCACGCCCCAAGGCACTTCACAGCTGGAAGAGCACTGCCATGCCCTTAATCCCATTTGCTCCCTCAAGAGTTGAGCTCCCCTGAGAAGCTGGAACAATACCCCCATCTACAGATTTGGAAACTGAGGCTCAACAGGAAAAGGCAGCTTTCCAGTAAGCTGCAAGCCTGGACTAGAATGGAGGTTTTCTGAGACTCACTGGAGGGCCTTGGCACATCCCTCTTCACCCGGAGCCCCTACTCCACCAGGCAGTGACGACATGGATCATGATTTCAGCTCAGAGGCTGTAGAGCACAGTGGTTAAAGACTGTGGGCATAGGGACCACCCAGCTAGGGTTCCAGTGCCCCTCTGCCCCATATTAGCTGTGTGCCGTGGTCAGTTCAGCTCGCTGGGTCTCATTTTCCCCATCTATAGAATGGGGATAATGTTAGTACTGACCTCATGTGACTACTGTGAGGAACCAGAGAGTTAAAGAAGGGTGGCTGGGTGCGGTGGCTCATGCCTGTAATCCCAGCACTTTGGAAGGCTGAGGCAGGTGGATTACTTGAGGTCAGGAGTTCGAGACCAGCCTGGCCAACATGGTGAAACCCTGTCTCTACTAAAAATAGCCAGGCATGGTGGTGGGTGCCTGTAGTCCCAGCTACTCAGGAGGCTGAGGCAGGAGAATCACTTGAACCCGGGAGGTGGAGGTTGCAGAGAGCCAAAATCGTGCCATTGTACTCCAACCTGGGCAACAGAGCGAGACTCTATCTCAAAAAAAAAAAGAAGGGAAGGACCCCAGTGTGGTGCCTGGCATTGTGGGTACTCAGGATACCCTAACCATTAGGATGCCCTGGTTTGGGCTGCCTCAAATCTGCCTCTCTTTCCTGGCTTCAGGCCCTGCCATCCTAATGGGACCAACCTCACACCCCAGTTCCAGGCCTGGCCAATCAACACTAACTCCAGGTGCTGGTAGGAGATGGGTCACCTGACCCAAGCCCAGTCATCAAATCAATGAACGCCAGCCCGGGGATCTGAAGGAAGGAGGCGCTCTCCTCCGATAGTGGGGGGAAAGCTGGGGCTGCCATCTTGCCAACATGAGGGCTGAGCCCACCTGAGGATGGGCCAACTTGGGGGAGAGCTTCTCAGTTATGTGAGCCAACAATTTCCTTTTCAGGTTAGCCAGTTCACGTTGAGTTTCTGTCACACTGTTGGGCAGGAGATCCCGGGGACGCTCCCAGCCAGGACCATCTACAGTGTCAGAGGGCAGCCTCTCCGAGGCAGAGCCAGTTGGACCTGTATCACCTGCCAGGTGGTGGGATGGGGTCCCCCTCCTCCCCCAGCCTAACATAATGCTGAGCGTCCCCCCAAAGACCCATTCCATCCCGGTAACCTCAGGGTTGGCAGGAACAGCACTGAGCAATGGATAGGGGAGTTTTGATGAAGGAAGGGGCTCCTAACAGGTAAAATTAGAAGAGCCAGCTGGGCTCCCCGGGAGGAATGTGGGGAGGATGGAAGACTGAGTAGAGGTATGGGTGGAGAGCAGGGTGGTGGGAACCTGAAGACAACCTCATCTCATTTGTTCAGGTCCTTCCCGGCATTTGAGGACCAGATCAAAGAATTTCAGCTTCACAAATGCTAATCCTTGAGGGTTAGAGGTGAAGGGGTTGAGTCCCTGTGTACCCTTAGGGTGTCCTTTGCCACCCTAGGCCTCAGTTTCCCCATCAATAGGGAATACCCAAGACCCATAATCTGGAGTTCCAGGTTTCTTTCAAACGCCAGGAGGGAGGGTTGGGGGGACCCCATGTTCCTTTGGTTCCCCTTCCCATTTGCCACCTGCCCCCAAGGCCAGCTCACCTGTTCTGGGAGCTGTGCAGTCCTCAGCAGCTGCAGGGTCTCCAGGTGGGAGTGAAAGAGGGGGCTGGGCTGCAGGCGGCCGCCCAGCTTGCACTCAATGATATAGCCCATGGTGCAGTCATCAGGCAGCCGGATGAGAGCAGATGTGTCCATGAAACGGGAGCCACTGAGGGACAGAGCCAGACTGCAGACGCTGGCCCAGGCCCTCCACACCCAGAGCCGTGGGCCACCCCATGAAGGCCCTCCACTGGGACAAGCTGGCAGAACAGAGCACCTGCCTCCTGCATACTGTATGACCTTGAGCAAGTCAGGAACCTTGGGGAGCCTCAGCCTCAGTCTCCTGTTCTGTGAAATGGGGATGCTAATGGCCGTGTCTTCGTGGAGCTGTCGTGAGGATTAAACAGGGAATGGGAAGGTGATGCCCTTTATAAATGTAGCCTTTCCTTCTCTCTCTGTCTTGTCATTCATTCATTCACTCATTTATTCATTGCTGGTGCCAGATACCATGCTAGGGCTGAGGATACAGAGATGAGAAAGAAACGCTTCCTGCCCCCAACAGCAGCCCCTATTCTGGCGGGAGACAGAGCAGGGAGCAGGTCTTTCAAAGAGTGGTGCTAAGTCAGAGGGAAGCATGCTGCCTGGGGGTACAGGGAGAATCAGGCGGGCTTTCCAGAGGAGGTGGCAGCTTTTTTGTGTGTTCATTTGTTTGTTTGTTTGTTTGTTTGTTTTTGAGACAGAGTCTCCCTTCATTGCCCAGGCTGGAGTGCAGTGGTGCAATCTCGGCTCACTGCAATCTCCGCCTCCTGGGTTTAAGCAATTCTCCTGTCTCAGCCTCCTGAATAGCTGGGACTACAGGCACCCGCTGCCATGCCCGGCTAATCTTTGTATTTTTAGTAGAGACAGAGTTTCACCACGTTGGCCAGGCTGGTCTTGAACTCCTAACCTCAAGTGAGTCACCCACCTCAGCCTCCCAAAGTGCTGGGATTACAGGCATGAGCCACCTAAACAGAGTCTTGCAGGATGGGCTGGAGTCAGCCAGTGCTGAGGGGAGACAGGAACAGAGTCCCAGGCATGGACTTCAACTGGCCGCGTATACCCCATTAATGCCGCTGCCCTGGATGCTTGTCCAAGGGGCAAGTGGGTGTGGAAATCCAGCCTGTACTCCCCTCCCCAGCCTGCACTCCCCTCCCCAGCCTGCACTCCCCTCCCCAGCCTGCATGCCCTCAAGCTGCACCTGCAGGAGTTGGAGGGAGAGGGCTTTTTCTAATTCACACAAAGGTAATTTAGAGGTGGGCAGAAGCCTGGGTGGGGGCACCCCAGGCACACGGATGACCCTGGTCATGTGTACACACACAGTTCTGTGGACATGCCCCAGGACAATGAGCCCGCTCTTGTCCAGTATGAATTGCCTGGGGCGCCCCTCCCAGCCAGGGCAAGGCAGGGCAGGCTTGGGTAGTAGCAAGGCTTGCAGACCTTGGAGCCAAACCCAGCAGCTGAGTGACCTTGAACCTGGCTGACCTCAGACTGGCTTAATCTCAGTGCCTCAGTTGCCTGAGATCTAGAAACAAGACTAATGCCACCTTCTCCCCCAGGTGTTGTGATCCTCTTGATGGAGCACAGAGCTGGCTCAGAGTCAGTCCTCAATACAAGGGAGTGGCTGCTGATGGTGCTGTTAATAATAATAATAGCCCGGAAAGACCTCCAGAAGCCAGGCCTCGCCACTTCTAGAACACCTGTGTCCCACCCCCACCCACACTGCGGCCTCCACTACCCCTGAGATCCCCTCATAATATTAGGAGTAATATCATCTCCCTTAGATGATATTATGAATAATATCACAGGATGTACACCCACTGTGCTATTAGGAGTAATATCATCTCCCTTAGATGGCCCAGTGTATAGTGGACTGTCCCAGCTCAAATACCACCTCTTCCTGGAAGCCTTCCCTTCTTCCCTCACCCAGAAGGCCCTTCTCCCTCCTCTGAAGACCCTTAGATTTGGCCTTCACCTCCCCTACGGCATTGACCAGTCAGAAAAGGGCGGTAAATAGCACCTACCAGGGCCAGCCCAGACATTTTCTCATTTAACCCTTACTACACCATTGGCCACTGCATTATCAGGTCCATGTGCCGACGGGGGGACTGGGGCTCTTGGAGATGACATGACTTGCCTGTGAGTGGCACGTCATGCGCTCAGCCGTGCAGCCCCTGAGGGCAGGTGGCAGGTGGCTTGTTCACCACCAACTGCCGCTCTGTGACACACGCAAATGAGGAGCAGCTTCTCCTGAGCTCACTCTCAAAGCCCTTCCTGCTGCAAAGGCCCCTCCTGTACCCCAGCTGCCACCCCCTCCCCGCCTTCCTGCCCACCCCTGGGTCTCTGCTTACCTGGCCCACGGAGCCATCTTCAAAGCCAGTTTGCGATTGATGCAGAAGCCAGCACCCCCAGTGGCAAACCAGAACTGTACCAGCCTCTGAGAGAGAGGAAGGCCAAGGGGCAGAGTGAGCCTGGTGGCAGTTGTGGGGAAAAGGGACAGCCAGGCCACCCTTCACCCCCAACCAGCATGGCTCAAAAGCCCTTTATTTTGAATCTCACTAGAGTCTTGCTACAACCTGGCATTATTGCACCCATTCTATAGATAAGAAAACAGAGGCCCGAAGTCACATAGTTAATTATGAGTGGTGAGGTCACTGATCAGACTCAAGTCCAGCTGAATTCCAGTTAAAGGGGACAGGTGTTGTTTTACCCACCCAGCCACCATGCCCCTTTCCCCTGAGAAAGGTCTCTACCTCACTCCATGTGGCTTGGGAGGGGCTGCCGAACATGGCACCTGCTCTCCTGGGCCACAGAGGTGGGCCTAGGTTGACGGGGCCTGAGTGTGCATAGGAAAGATGTGGCTGGGAAACAAAGGTCAGGCTGTGTCCAATACAAATCACTAACACTTTTTTTTTTTTAAGAGACAGAGTCTTGCTCTGTTGCCCAGGCTCAAGTGCAGTGGCACCATCTCTGCTCACTGCAACCTCCGCCTCCCAGGTTCAAGCGATTCTCCAGCCTCAGCTTCCCAAATAGCTGGAACTACAGACGTGCGCCACCACGCCCAACTAATTTTTGTATTTTTTAGTAGAGACAGGGTTTAACTATTTGTTGGCCAGGCTGGTCTCAAACTCCTGACCTCAGGTGATTCACCTGCCTCGGCCTCCCAAAGTGCTGGGATTACAGATATGAGCCACCGCGCCCGGCCTCAGATCACTAACACTTTCTAGTGTTGACTTCGTGCCAGGTCTCATTCCAAGGACTTGGAGAGATGACCTCATTTCATTCTTTCTTCTGTGTTCACGACCACTCTTTGAGTAGGGGCTGTTATCACCCATTTCACAGATTAGGAAACTGAGGCACAGAGAGGTGAGGTGACCTCAGTCAAGGTCACAAAGCCAGGAGGTGGCAGGGCTGCCGTGTAAACCCAGGGAGTCAGGCTCCAGCGTGCAGTTCTCCACCCCAGAGGCAAACTGCTTAGGCAGAGGTGAGTCGCCAGCAGTGAAGTGGTGTGAGAGCCTGGGGGACCCCCTGGCTCCCCTGGAATCACTCATACACAGAGCCCTAGGGCCCAGAAGAATTTAATTAAGGCTCAGAGGCTGATTAGCTACTGATAATTAAGGCTCTGTGTTTTCTGCTCTTGGTTTTCCTAATGAAGCAGATGGGGACCTGGGAAGGGAGGTTGAGCCCCGCTGTGTGCCCAGCTCCTGCACCAGGCACTGCCTCTAGAGAGGGACCTCCCGATCTGCCTTCTTCCTGGAGCCAAGGGAGCCCTAGGGCCAGGACCACTCTAACACCTGATGCCCAGGGGGTCCTGGGGACAGGGAGAGAACCATGCAATATTTGGGACATACTTATACTAAAAATTTCCTCATTATTTATGAGAAAGTCAAGTTTAACTGGATGTAGTGGTTTTTCATTTATTTGTTTAATGAATCTGGCAACCCAAATCAGTGTCCATCCAGGTCAGGAACTGAGGCGGGTACAGAGCCCCCTGTTTTGCCAGGTGTCGACTCTTCAGTCACAGGCTAGTGGAGGTGTCTGGAGGGAGAGGGTGCCCCAGGAGGGGAAGGTGGGGAAGGGTTCTGGGGCTCAGGTGGCAGCAATCACCCAGCCCCACAGTATTCAGCAATTTTTTTTTTTTTTTTTGACGGAGGGACGGAGTCTCGCTCTGCCGCCCAGGCTGGAGTGCAGTGGCACAATCTCAGCTCACTGCAACCTCCGCCTCCTGGGTTCAAGCGATTCTCCTCTCTCAGCCTCCCGAGTAGCTGGGACTACAGGTGCCCGCCACCATGCCCAGCTAATTTTTGTATTTTTAGTAGAGACGGGGTTTCACCATATTGGTCAGGCTGGTCTCGAACTCTTGACCTCAGGTCACCCACCCACCTCAGCCTCCCAAAGTGCTGGGATTACAGGCATGAGCCACTGCCCCCAGCCATTCCAGCATTTTAACAACCTGCACACCTACATGGGGACACCAGGTGACTGGGAGCCCTGCTGTGGTGTCACACAGCCTCAGCTCACCTGGATGCTCCCTGAGTGACCAGGACAAGCCGTGGTTCCTGGGGGATGGAGGCCTCACTATGTACTGTGTCTGTGCCACGACTGCATGATCTCAGTCTCCCCATTTCACAGAGGAAGAGACTGAGGGTTGAAGAGGGGAAGCTACCAGCCCAAACCCACATAGGGCCAAACCTGAAACCCAGAACCCCTCTCACCTCTCTAGCACACCCCCACCCCCAGGACCGGCCCGGCCCTTGGGATCAGCGGGCCAAGGGGCAAAGGAGGAGGAGAGGGACCCACCGTGCGGTTGTGGGGCTGTGGCTCTGAGGCATGGATGGGCCGGTTCAGGCTGGGCCTTCCCACATAGACGTCGCGGGCCAGCGGGAAGGCTCTCAGAAGCTGCAGCAGCGCCCTTGGGTTCACATAGTTGTCATCGTCCACATGGCAGAACCACCTGTAGGGATGAAACGGGGACAGTGAACTTGTTGGGGGGGTTCCAAGCCAGGGTCCCCAAGCACCCCCACAGTCGGTCAACAGTGACGGAATGGGGGTAGGGGTGGGAGAGGCTGACATTTAAGGCATCTGTTTTGTGCCAAGTTGCATATTGTGTAAGCTCATGAGGAGGGTACCCACTTCACAGTTGAGGACCAAGACTGAGAGGTTAAGACACTCGCCCTGGCCAGGTGTGGTGGCTCACGCCTGTAAGCCCAGCACTTTAGGAGGCCGAGGCAGGTGAATCACCTGAGGTCAGGAGTTCGAGACCAGCCTGGCCAACATGGTGAAACCCCGTCTCTACTAAAATTACAAAAGTTAGCCAGGCATGATGGTGGGCATCTGTCATCCCAGCTACTTGGGAGGCTGAGGCAGGAGAATCGCTTGAATCCAGGAGCGGAGGTTGCAATGAGCCGAGACTGCACCATTTGCACTCCAGCCTGGGCAAGAAGAACGATACTCTGTCTCAAAAAAAAAAGCCATTTTCCCAAGGTCACATACCCAATCCTGAATGTCAGGACTGGAACCCAGCTGGACTTCCCAGCCATCTGCCCACTGCCTGCTAGAGGAGTGGGGGCTGAAGTCAGACCCCAGGAGTCCCAGGGGTTATTTTCACTGGGCCCAGACCACACTTATCCCCAGAGACCCAGGAACACTCGCCTAAGCCCACTGGCCAAGAAGGTGTCGAACTCAGCAGCCATCTTGCAGGACAGAGCTGGGTGGCTGTGTTCCGCGGAGCAGTTGGTGACCACAAGGTGGGACCCTGGAGAAGTGAGGAGGAGTCAGGGGACCCTGCCCAGGTCCCCCCTTCAGAGCCCTGAACACAGAATACAGAGCAAGGCTGGGCAACAGGGAGTCTGGAGCAGCCCACCCACTCCCATTTTACACATGGTAGGACTGAGACCCGGGGAAGGCAGACCTGCCCAGGACCACAGACCTAGTGGACAGCAGGCTGGGCTGGGACTCAGGTGTCCAGGGCCTTGTCCAGCACCGCTCTTCCCCATACCCACGCCCACACCAGTTTCCAGGGAAGAGGCCCACTTCCCTCCTGGGCAAAGGGGAATCTCCACATGCCAAGGGTGGGCGGCCCATTTCCTGGGAACCCTCAGGCCAGGGCACAGCCGCCCCAGCTTTCCCAGGCAACAGCTAAAGTCCCCCACCACACCCAGGCCGGGCAGAGTTACCCAGTCTCTCCTGGAGGCCTTTGTCTGGGCTGTCGGTGAAGACAAATGTCTAGGAAGGAGAAGAAGGGGTCAGGACTCACATCGGCCCAAGGGACACCCCAGACCAATCCACAGCCCACCACCACCAGGCCCCAGATGGACTCTGTACTCCTCCAGTGACAGACACACCCCTCTCATGGTCACACGCTCCTTTAGGACAACATACAACACACACAACCCAGCTTTTGTAGACACACAACTTCAGGGTGTACACAGCCCACAGTCTAAACACATACACTCACCCCCTTTCCAGAGCAGCACCACAGGGACCCAACCACAGCCACACACCTGGGCAGCATCTCACCCTCTTCTATCACACACACACACAATCACACACACACACACAATCACAGCTGCACTCGGCTCCTCCACAATCACAGAACACAATCTTAAACCCATTTTCAGGACACAAACTCTATGTGAACAGACCCACGGCCACACCATGGGACACCACGCCACTAGGGAGACGTCACACCTTCACAGCCACACAAACCCCCTGTGCAAGCCATCTCGGAAATGCTGCCTCACAACCCAGTCCGGCTCTCCCAGATTGGACATGCACTTGCCCGCAACGACCCTCAAACCTCACGAGGCAGGCGTTGTCATCTGTTCCCTTTCCAGATGACAAAAAGGAGGCTGAGTGATGGACCAGGATTGGCAAGTGCCAGGCTGAGATTCAAACCCATAGGCCCCGGACCTCTCCCCACCGCCTCCCAGGCAGCTAAAGCTGCTCAGCCCCTACATAATCCAAGCTCAGACTCTGAATGAGAGGTAGAGGAAGTACATGGATGCGACAAAGACAAGCCAGGCTGGGGACAAAGACAAGCCAGGCTGGGGACTGGTGTTCTTCCCATTCCATGCCCGGCCCAACATGGCAGAGCTTCTCAGCTGCCCAAGTGGGTCCTCTCACCCATTGAGCATCAGGGGCCTTTGAGGGCCTCCCCGGCCCTGGGACTGCCCGGCCCAGGACTCAGGACAATTCCGGACCCCTTCCAAGTGTCCCACCTCTTTAAAGCCCTCCGACTCTCTCAGCCCCCACTGGGGCCACACTCGTGGCTTAACCCTGTCCTCCCTTGAAGCTCAGCGCCTCCAACTGCAATGCTCCCCTCTGCTTACCTAAAATCCCCTCCCTCCTTTCCAGGAATTAGCCCTTCAGATCAGAAGAGTCCCCGCCTTGATCCTCAGTTTACCCATCTACAAAAGGGGGATAGTAGTGGCTGTGAGAATAAAACAAGATTGTGTGTAAAAGAGCAAGGAAGAGTTGACAGTGAAGTCAGGCTCAACTACTTGTATTTCAGGGGAAACTGAGGCATAGGAGGCCAGGAGGCCGGGAGCCAGGTTTGACACAGGAAGGGGCAGGAGGGAGCCAGGCTATCTCCTAAGGCCCATGGCCACAGCCCTGCTTCTGAGCCACTATCACCTCTCACTGGACTACTGCAAGACTCTGCCTCATTCCCTCAGATATGTTTCCCTGCCAGGACCAGAATCGAGTAACACCCAACTCCACCCACCAGCCACTAACACCTTCCATGGCTCCCTACTACTCTTGGGATAAAGGCCAGCCTCCCTAAGTGTGGCCAGTGAGGGGCCACCTGGCCACCCTGCCTGATGTAGTCTGATCTCATTACTTCCTGTCCACCCCTGGGGCTTCTCTCTCTGTCTCTCTCTCTCACACACACACACGCACACACACGCACGCATACACACACACACACACACACGCACGTGCGCACGCCTCTGAGCCTCTGCGCATGCTATGCCCTCTTTCCACCCTCTAGCTCCCAGCTCAGGCATCACCTTCCCCAGGAAGCCTTCCCTGACACCCCTCCAGCTACTTTAGAGGCCCCTGCTATGTGTTCCTCAGCCCTCTGTTTCTCCTGTCACTAACAGCAGTTAGCAAAACTCCCTGGTTACAGAAATTTCTCTCCCCGTCTCTTCCACCAGACGATGGCATCCTGGAGACCACAGGCTGGGTCCAATTTGTCTCCTTGCTCCGGCACCTGGCTCTCCTCAGGAAGGCCTGTGCAGCATCCACCCTCTGAGCCTCTCTCCCTGGGGTCTGTCTCCCACCGTCAGATTTAGCGAATGCTGGAGGTCTCTGGATTTCCGCAGGGGGAAATGGTGGTGGTCCAAGCCTAGACCCTGGTCCGCTTCTCCATGAAGCCCACTCCGTCAGTGACGCCATGCAGCCTCTCAGCTTTAAACACCATCAGGGAGCTGGAGACTCGTGGACACCACCAGCCCTAGCCTCTCCCTGAGCTCCAAACTGTCAAATCCCCTGAAACCATGACGTCTCCTGGGGGCTTAACACATCAAGACTGAGCCCCCGTTCTCCCCAAGACCTGCTCCTCCCTCTCACTGGTTGGGACCCAAAACCTCAGACTCCCCGCTCCTCCTCTCTTCCTCTCACACCTCTTCCCGAGCCTGTCATCAATTCTGCTCACCAGCCTCCAAATCGTCTGGGACGCTGCTCTTCCCTCCGGCCCACCCGGCCACCTAGTCCCCGCCACTGTCGTCACCTGCTGCCTGCTTTGCTGCAGGCCCTCCTCCCTGGCCTCCCTGCTCCCTGCCTCCACCCCAAGTCGGTTTTCAACACAGCCTCAAGGGATCCTATCAAAGAAACCAGGCCTTTCCTACCCTGCCCTCGACAAACTTTTGCCACCAAACAGCCACCCGATAGTGAAACACTCTCAAGCTTGGAGCATGGGCCAAATGGGCTGAGGACTGTTTCCCGGTGAAGATCTAGTAAGCCTGAATAAAGCAGGAGAATAGGCACTTTGGGAGGCCAAGGCAGGTGGATCATTTGAGGCCAGGAGTTCAAGACCAGCCTGGCCAACATGGCAAAACCCCATCTCTACTAAAAATAGAAAAATTAGCCGGGCGTGGTGCGCATGCCTGTAGTCCAAGCTACTCAGGAAGCTGAGGATCACTTGAAACCAGGAGGCGGAGGTTGCAGTGAGCCAGGATCGTGCCACTGCACTCCAGCCTGGAAAACAGAGTGAGACTCTGTCTCAAAATAAACAAAACAAAACACCAGCAGCCATGAACAGAGTGAGGGAGAGAGCCGGGAAGGGGAGTCCAGGTCCAGAGGGGGCGGGGGCACAGGAGAGGGCAGTGAGGCTGGCGCTTTCAGTCCCTGGGAATCCTAAGGTTGGCACAGAGCGATGGGCAGAGTTTCTTTGGAGCCAAGGGCTGCATTTGACTTGTTTAAGGAGGGGACCTGACAATGGTGAAAACTTCACAGGCAGCCGCGGGAAACAAAGGGACACGCAGCCTGCTGGGGCAGGGGAGGGGTGGCCGGGGACCATCTGCTGCAGAGGAGGGGAGTGGTGGGGCTGCTGCCACCTCTCCCCCCAACAAGGGGACCATAGGGAGGAGAAAGGCTCGCCTTGAGCACAAAACCCGCCTCCCCCAGCCCACCCCCTCAGCCCAGGACAAAGGCCGGCACACGAGTCCCGGCCCCTGCCGCAAGGCCCACCTGCCACCCGACCGCCCTTAACCAGCCAGGCGGGCGCCCAGCGCTGCAGTTAACCAGCTCAGGCCCGGTCCAGACACTCCTGCCCCGTGCAGATGGGGAAACTGCGGGCCGAAAGGGGAGGGCCTTGGCTGAGGTCACAGAGAGAAGTGAGCCAAAGGGTGAGAGACGTGGGGTAGCGACTCCTGTAGCCCAGTGACCCAGTCCTCACAGGGTTCCCAAGTCTCAGCAGGGGAGAAAAGCACCCAACCAGGAGCAAGGTTCTAGGTCCCACTGGGCTCTGTCCCCTCAGGCCTTCTGCGTGACACCACGCCAGCCAGCACTTCCTCTCTCTGGCCTCAGTTTCCTCATCCGGGGCAAGGGCACCACCGCGGTGATGGAGATAAGACAGGAAAGGGCCGTGGGCCACGTGAGGCCACGCTCCCGGGTACACAGACGCATAAACAGGAAGGCCTGCGGGAGGGCCCGCCTTGGCTGCTTCCGCAGGAAGAACCAGGATCTCCCCAAGATGAGAAGCCGTGTGGGGCCCAGAGAAGAGCTGAGGTGCTGGGGGCCAGCTGGGGAAGAGTTAATCCCAAGTACGAGGGCAGAAATCAGGGCAGGGTGCCCCTCCCCAGGAGGGCCTGGCCTCTGCCAGCCATCCTCTCCCCCTCCTTTTGGTCTTCCAGGAGGTCTCGACTATCTCCAAAGACTCAGTCACTTCCTCCCACTGAGCCAGCCGCCAAAGAGGGGACCGATGTGTGTGTGTGTGTGTGTGTGTGTGTACCCATTCTCCACCTCCCCCATCAACGGTCCCTAACACCGACATCACTAACTTTGCTTAAGGAAGATACTGGATGCGAGGAGGGAAAGGGCTGGAAGGGACTTGGCTCGCCGGAGCCGCACAGCCATGTGACAGACATGCCTCTTGTCACACACATCTAGCACACTCCAGCTCCGTGCGTGTGAGCACACACACACACACACACACAATCCCACGTGCCAGGCAGGCCTCCCCAACCTCCGGCCCACCACTGCCTCAGCCGCCACCCTCGTGGCATGCGCTCTCCTTCCCTCCCTCGGAAGCAGTCCGCAGGAAGCCAACACAGGAGGCCAGACATGGCGGCCTCGGCACACCCGGGGCAGCAGAGACACAGCGGCAGGGGCTATCGGGAAGGCCGAAGGGATGCCTCCCCCAAGAACAGACCCCACCATTCTCCTCCCGTCCTCCACCCTCAGAGCCCGGGCAGGACAGCACCTAGGGCCTGGGTGGGACAGCCTGGCCTGGGCACGGGTCTGGGTCAGGACCTCTTGGAGGCCTCCACCCCAGCTGCCCAACACCCACCATTACCCCTGATGCCAGGCTGGGCCTGGGTGGCTAGGAGCGAAGCCCCCACGGGAGCGGCTAGGAATAGAAGAACCCCCAGGAGGGACCCGGGAGCCTGGAGCAGGGGCCCAGCCTGGCCCCCAAAAGTGGTGGAGCGGTAGGACCTGGGTGCACCTGGAGTCAGGACCAGTACAGGGCACGGGCAGGGCCGCAGGCAGCCCCTAAAGCCCGGAAGAAGGAGAGAGGAAGAGGATCCCTGATTAGGCAGGTATTGAGCAGCTTCTCCCATGAGGCAGTCAGGGACCCCAGCCCAGTAGAAAGGCCTCTGAGAACCCCTTAGGCCAGGGGCCACCCCCAGGGCCCAATGTCACCCACTTGTCACCTGTTCCCTGGTCCTGGAAACCCACGTGTCAAGCAGCAGCTCCAGGCGCAAGCGGTGGAAAGCCCGGGTCGTCTTCACTGCAATGAAGACATCGTGTAGCTGTAGCTTAGGGGGCCCCGGGTTCGGCTGGCTCAGCTCGGGGGTCCCTTGTACCCGCTGCGGGGACAGGTTCAAGTGGTACCGCAGACACAGGAGCCCCATGCACAGGAGGGTGAGGAGGGCTCCAGCCAGGCCCCGCGGGAGCCGGCACTGCATTGGTTGGCCCTGGGACCCCAGACAGCTCAGCCCCCAAATCCCAACCAGACAGGGAGGGGAAGCTGGTCAGGCAGGGGCTCCAGCAGAGGCAAAAGTCTGGCAGGCATCAGGGGCTGGCAAGGAGGGAAGAGGTAGGAGCTGAGGCTCTGGACCCAGAGGCTGAGCCATGGCAGCACGATCTCGACCGCCGCCAGTCCTCCACCTGCTCCCGCTGTCCGGCCTGCCGCAGCCTCCGGGACCGCCTGGCCCCGCCCCGCTTAGCCCGAGGGGCGGGGCCAGACGAAGGGAACCCCAGACAGAGGCGGCTGAAAGGAGGCACCAGCAGAAAGGGCAGCCCCGGCTCTGCCAGCTGCTGCGGTGGGAGGAAGTCACAACAAACCCTCCGTGCCCGGTGGAAGGGAGTGTCCTCCAGCACCGTCCACTCCCCCAGAGAGCTGTCAGCTCGGCCCATTCAACACCCATTACTTTGGTGTCCTGCTTCACCCAGCCCCCAGCTTTTGCTCACAGGTTTCCTCCGGGATGCTCTCCCATATTCCACCAGCCTCACCCACATTCCCTCCACTAGGCTGAGTTCTATCTGGACTTCAAAGCTTAAGGGTTCCCTCCTCCAGGAAGCCTTCCGTGATAACCTCTTAACCTCTGGGGCTCCCACAGTTGTTCGCTCAGTTCCTGAGGTCTTCACAACAGCACTGGGACTGTCGTTCCCAGTTTATAGCTGAAGACATAAGGCACAAAGGCACAGAATGAGCAAAAACGATCCAGCAACTCAGCCGCAGAGCTGGCAGAACCCAGGTCTCTGTTCCTCATCTAGTTCACAGGAGGTCCCCTGAGGGCACCTGTCCAGCTGTGCCCCAGCCCATACCCGACCTCACTCCGCAGTCTCTGGAGCTGCCTCTCTCCCAGCACCTGACCAGTGGACAGACAGAGGGCCTTCTCCAGCCACCACCTCCATCTTGTTTCGCACAAGCTCACTCACACCTCCTCCCTCCTCCACTCAGAGCCTGCACTGGCTCCCATTTTCTTCAGAACAAAAGCCAAAACGCACACAGCAGCCCACAAGGCCCTGCGTGAGCTGGCTCCCAAGTTACTCCCACCCCATCTCCTGCTACTCACCCTGCTCCACTCCAGAACCTGGGACCCTCGCTGGCCCAGGCACCTGGCCGCCACAGGACCTTGGCACTTGCTGTTCCCACCTGGGCCCCTCCCTAGAGACCTGCACGTCTCACTCCCCCACTCCCTTCTGGTCTTTACACAAAGGTCACCGTCTCTGTGAGGCCTTCCCTGACCACGTTATTAACATTGCAACCCCTCGCCGCCTCCTTCCCAGCCCCCCAGGCCTGTCCCTCTCAAGCCACTTCACTGTTTTCTTCATCACACTTTTCATCTTCCAACATTCTGTATGTTTAACTAAGTTTCTGTCCTCCTCATGAGAATATCAGGGCAGGATTTATTTTTTGATCACTGAGTCCCTAATCCCCAGTGCCTAGAACAGTGACCGGCAGACAAGAACTCAATCAATGTTAATTCAACACAACAAAGTACCAGGTGGCTGGCAAAGGGAAGTGGCCCTGCCGGGCTCAACCCTGCATGAGGACAGCTGGGGGAGAGGAAGGGAAAACCAACCCTTTGAATGACCTTCTCATGGGCCAGCCCCCAGCCAGGCCCCTTCACAGGCCATATTCTCAGAATGGTGATGATGCCAGCCTTGGTGATGATCCCAGACTCTGTACCCCACAGACCAGGTTTAAATCCTGACTGGGGGCTGGGCGCCATGGCTCACGCCTGTACTCCCAGCACTTTGGGAGGCCAAGGCAGGCAGATCACTTGAGGTCAGGAGTTCAAGACCAGCCTGGCCAACATGGTGAAACCCCGTCTCTACCAAAAATACAAAAATTAGCTAGGCATTGTGGCAGGCACCTGTAATCCCAGCTACTAGGGAGGCTGAGGCAGGAGAATCACTTGAACCCGGGAGGCAGAGGTTGCAGTGAGCCGAGATGGCGCCATTGCACTCCAGCCTAGGCAACAAGAGTGAAACTCCATCTCAAAAAAAAAAATTCCCAACTGGGCCACTCACTGGCTGTATGACTCTAGGAAAGTTACCTTCATCATTTCTAAAATGGGGACAAAAATATGACTTGGTGACGATTACAGGATGAGTGGGCTTCTCCACCCCACAGAAAGGATGCTTGACACGGGGAACAGGCAAAGGCAGCCAAGTCACAGGCCCCTGCCTTTCCCCAGGCCAAGCACTGGGCCAGGCTCACTGTGGGGCAGGGGGAGGTTCATGTACCCAAATGCACACAGCCCAGTTTCCATGCCCAGGAAGCCACAGACATCGAGAGACAGCCACACAGACACCCTCGTCCCACCACAAGGCAGAATATGGCATGGGCCAGGAGAAGTCCCAAGGGCTGGGAGGACCTGGTGGTGGGTTTCATGGAGATACGTAATATCTCAGCCAGGCTTCAAAGATCAGGAAGATTCAGGCAGGGAGAGCAGCCCAGGCAGGGGCCACATGAGCAGAGGAGCACAGCTAAGGGTAAACTGAAAGGCCACTGCCACTGCCCGCGGTGGGGAGGATGTGGCTGGGGGGATGGGAGAGTCAACACCTGGGAAGGCCTGGAGTAGAAAGCGGCATTGCCGCTGATTCCCATGCAGGGAGGCTGCCCTTCCCCCAGGGCACCGCCTTTGCCACTCAGGGTCCAGCTCCCCAGCCCCTACCCCAGTGGTGACA
Organism: Homo sapiens; assembly: GCF_000001405.40. Lineage (NCBI taxonomy): Eukaryota > Metazoa > Chordata > Mammalia > Primates > Hominidae > Homo > Homo sapiens. The sequence continues at coordinate 37,488,912 of NC_000022.11, forward strand.
GACTGGCAGGCCTCCAAGTCCAATCTGCACCTTGTCAAAGACACCCTGTCGTAGAGAGTGGGAAGACCTTTTCCCAAGCAATGGCTCAGCCCCAGCCACACGTGCTCACCTAGCCGTGGCCAATCCGTACCTCCATGCTCACTCCACCATCCGGGCCTCCACTCCACAGGGGAGGGCCCTGGGCCCAGAGAGGCCACCCGAGTTGCCAGGGTCTCCTGGCTGACCAGAGCTTTGGGTTTCAACCAAACTACAGTGCCCTGCGCACCCTGCACTCCATCCTGGGAAAGCCTCTCTGGGTTCCCGGGACAGCCTGGGCCCACCGTCCACCCTGGCCTCATACCCAAGCACCGTCATCCTGCGTGGTCCAGTCTCTGAGACCCTCACCACCTCTCCCCTACACCCACTCCTTGTCTCTTCCCACTAAAGATGGGGCTGTGGCCCCCTGATCCACACCCCAATCCCCTCTCCCAGCTTCTCCATTCCCTTCTCCACCCACCACCCCAAATCCCCAGCCCTGACCCCTTCTTAAGCATTTTTCTTGTCAAACATGGAGATCCAGACCCACCCCTGGAGGCCACAGATCCCCTCCTTCCTGTCTGCTCCTCTCTCCTCCACTGCCCCTGCCCCCCACCCCCTACTCCAATTGGCCTCAGCCCTCTCTAAGTCAACTCCAAACCAGAGCTCCCATAGCCCTGCTCCCACATCCTGAGAGGCTCCCACAGCCTCCAGGGCACAGCCCAAGCTCCTTTGCGCTCCCAACCCCACCCCTGGACTTGCCCTTCCCAACCTCATTTCCGACCCCATCCAAGGTGGCCAGATCCAACCCATGTGCTGCCTCTGAGCTTTCGCCCTTGAGGCTACCCTACCTAGTTAGTACACCCACAACCCCAAGCCCCAGGGACCTGCCCAGCCTCATCACTGTGGCTGAGGACAGTCACCTGCACTTGGACACGTAGGTCCAATAAGTGGTTCCTGAAGAAAGGAATCCCAACTCCCAAGCTCAAGTGGCACTTCTTCCAGTAAGGCTGCCTGGATTGCTCCCAGTGGGAGCAACCATCCTCTCTCCAGTAGAGCTGTCTCAGGAACCTGCGTGCATACCAAGGGTTTGCTCTTGAGCTCCTGGGCTCAGCAGCCAGGCCCCTTCAGTCGGAGGCCACACCCTGCCAGTTTTGGTGCCCTGCTCCAGGGGACACTCCTCTGATGATCAGCTGTGGGCAGGGCTGAGCGTTGGGGTGGCCCATCTGTGGGGCCCTCCTCTGGTCATTCAGGGGCAGGTAAGGTGACGCCAGCACAGATGGCGGGCGGCTCTGGGAAGAGGCAGGCGGGAAATCCGACCCTCCTGACAGGCAAGCGGGGACCTGAAAGGTGGTATCCGCCTGAGCTGGGAGACAAATGAGGAGAGTGATGGGGACCCAGGCCAGGGATACAAGCAAGCAGAAGGCCACCAGCATCTATGACAAAAGTGTTTAATGCTCCATAATGTGCAGCTTCTAAGTGAAAAAGGCCCGTTAATCATCCACGGGCCGTACATTCTCATGACAGAGCAGCCGCCCTCCTCGGCCCCCCAAGAGGGAGGCATAGGCAGGGAGTGGGCCCTGTGAGGCACGGTCCTGAGTGTGCCCGCCAGGAACGCACACGTGTTAGTGCCCACATGAAACAGGGGTGGGGCGTGACATTTACACAGGAGAGAACCACAGACACCCATGTGAGGAGACACGAGGGGCACAGGTGACCATGGGCCAGGGAACACCCCAGTCCATGCATGGCTGAATCCACGAGGAGCGCGAGCTGGATGGTGGGAGTCACGCGGTAACGGGCTCAGGTCTCCTAGGAGCAGAACAGGCCCAGGTCCTCAGGAGACCTCGTGCCCAGGGCAGCGGGACAGACCTGAGCCTGCCCATGAGAACTTGAGTGTGCAAACCTGCGCACAGGTGTGAGAACAGACTCCAGGGCGAGTGTTTAAGGAGAAGACACAGACACACATAAGACCCACTAGTGGGAATGTGGAGACCCCAGGAAAGGTGGGGAGGCCCAGAGCAGCAAGTAGAGGGGAGTGGGCACTCTGTCCCGGGACTCCCATAGGCTCGGCAGGGCCAGAGACAGCCTTGGGGGTGAGAGGCCAGAGCCAAGGGCCCTGCATCTGAGAGTCCAAGGGTCTAGGAAGGCTCAGGGTGGGAGGGCCCAGCTTCACCATAGACACCAGGGTCCACGCTGGCTTGGGGAGAAGGTGCAGGTATCAGATGAGCCTCAGGCCTCACTGCTGCTGGGGCAGCCTCTGCTGCTGCCGCACTCCACCCACACGAGGCGGGCCTGCTCCTGCAGGATGCGGCCGCGCACCACCTTGGCCAGCTCCTCTGCGTGTCCCCACTCATGGGCGGGCACCTGCACCCAGGAGCAGGGCAGCCCCCAGAGCACCTGCTCTGAGCCACGGCACTGCCGCAGCAGCTCTGAGTCCCGCCAGCCCGGCCGGCCCAGCAGACCCCTGCCGAGAGAAGAGTGAGCAGCGGTCAAAGTGGGGGACCAAGACAGACAGAGAGACAGGGAGAGAGGGACAGACAAAGGGGGAAGAGTCAGAGAGAGAAGATGGACAACCAAAGAGAGACAGATGGCAGATGGAGATGGAGAGAGAGAGACAGAGAAGGGGAGGGAGAGACGGGGGAGGGAGGGGGGAGGGAGAGAGAGGGGGAGAAGGAGGGGGGAGGGGGAGGGAGAGAGGGGGAAGGAGAGAGAGGGGGAGGGAGAAAGAGGGGGAGGGAGAGAGAGGGGGGAGGGAGAGAGGCATCCTCAAGGAGGAAGCTCTCAGGTCCGAGTGCCCTGCCCACTGCCCCACCCACCCACCTCACCTGACTTCCCGGACATTCTTCTCAGTCACCTCCACGTGGATGACGATGGGGTAGATCTCGTTCTGCACCAGCTCCCGCACACCCCGAGCACCCAGCTCCAGCAGGCAGTGCTTCTGCTTGGAGGATCGAGGCTACAATGTACTCCTGGGCCACAGACATCAGCCTCCCATGCGCTGCCCCCAGACGGGTCCCCTATCACCGCCTTCCCAGATGCAAGTCCTGCCTCCCCACCCAGAGGGACCCTGGCAACGAGGAAGGAGCCCAAAAGTACAGACAAGAGGCCTGGGCTCATGGGGCAACCTGGAGATACAGACCTCCCCCTCAGGACCTAGGCCTCCCCACCCGGAGGATGGAGCTGACCCAAACCCACCCACCACCCGCCACCTTATAGCCGACTGCCAGCTCCCAGGATAGTGGCAAGTTCAAGGATAAGGATGTGTAGGTGAGCTGTGTCAGCCAAACACCTCAAGGGGGGCCCACATGCAGTCAACTGCCCCCACCCACCCAGGCAACAGGTGAGGAAACTGAAGGCCACAGGAGGGAAAGGACTTGGCCAGGGCCGCCCTGCCAGTGAGCAGCAGAGCATGGCCCGCGCTCAGACGCTGGCGCTCAAGCCCAGAACAGCAGCACCCGCTCTGGGCCACCTCTGTGAGCACCCCAGGCCAGCCCCCAGCACCCACCTTCCCAACAGACTCCTGGATGGCCCGGATCCTGCTGCCTAGCCCAGGGGTGGCAGGCTGAGCCTTGGGGGCTCCAGGCGCTGAGGATGGGCACAGTTCCTCCCCAGAGAGGCTTTCTGCACAGGGAGTGGAGAGGGAGAGATGAAGGATCCATGGGCCCGGCTGCCCAGAGGGGCACCCAGCCTCCCCTCCCCGGCACATAGTCTCACCCGCTGGGCACACTTGGAAGTCCAGCCGGGAGCTGGGCAGGTCTAGCAGGTTACGGATGAGCCGGGGCGCCAGGCACTCAGGCAACAGCACCACGGGCCGCAGGGCAGACACCAGTAGCGGCCGCACCAAACTGTAGGGTCTGAGGCTCCGCTCCGGCTCTGTGGCAGGGGAGGGGCGCAAAAGAGATAAGGGCACAGGCAGGCAGCATACCAGCTCGTCGATACCCCAAAACCCACCCCGCCACCCATCCCTTCCTAAGTCCTGCTGCTGCTCCTCCTACACATGCACACACACACACCCTTAGTAGGACCGACGGTGGCAGTAGGCTCCTCCCTGATTCTCTGCCTCATCCCTGCCCCCTACGGGTCATTCTCCATCCAGCAGCCAGAGAGGCTTTAAAAAGCAAATCAGATCATGTTAACTCCCCTGCTTTCAACACACCAGTGACTTCCCAGATTCTCAGGAATAAAAGCCACATCCCCCACGTGGGTGACACAGTCCTGCCTGAGAGCCTGGGGAGGCTGCCAGCCACTGACCCCACACCACCAGCCTCCACTCTCCCTTCAGCTGCGTCCAACCACAGGGCCTTTGCATGCCCTGGGGCTGCCCAAAGCCCCAGCCCTGCACCACTCAGCCCAGTTAACCCTTGCCCTCCCTTCAGAGCCTAGGTCACACCTTCCCTGGTCCCCAGACATCAGGGCCCCTGGCATGTGCCCCACGGCCCCCAGTTCTCCACTGCACACCTCACACTCTCTCATTGTGTTCATAGGTGGGATTATCTGACTCTCTACCCCCTAATTAGACAGCAAGCTCCATGAGGGCAGGGACAGTCACGTCCCCAATGCCTGACAGAGCTGGTACTCAATACTCACCTGCTGTCCCCAACACCCTCCAAGCACACCACACACAGCCATGCCTCTGTGCCTTCTGCCTGGAACGAACTCCTCTTTAACTTTGAAGGCCCCCGCGGAAACTCCCTCTCTTCCAGGAAGTCTTCCCTAACTACCCGCTCCTCTTGCCCCAGATTTGCTACTCCCTCATCTGAGCTCCCCCAGCCCCTTCTACCTGTCTGGCCTAAGGCCTCACCCTACTGCCTCCGGGAACCCCCCTGGGTCCTCACAGCACCTGCCACCACACACGTGTGAGAAGCACCACTACACACACTCTGCCAGAAAAGAACAAGCCAGTATGTGTGCAAACCCACAGTCACAGCCACGTCTGCATGCACCTCCCCGCAGGGTCTCCCTCAACCTTGGCAATCACCATGGCAGGTGGGGTGGTCTTGTCTCTCAGGCCCCCAGCATGACCCCCACTCCTGTTGGAACCCTCACAACAGGCCCTTCCAGGCCAAAGAGGCCACCCAAGCTAAAGGACACTCAGCTGCACACATCCCTGGACAATGGGAGCAACACGGGATACAGCTTTGCCCCCGCGCACTCACCTGCACAGGGCTCCAGCAGCAGCTGATCCGGGGAGTCCCCTGCAGGCGCCCCCACGGGCTTGGGCCTCACCAGCCGCAGCTGGTCCAGGGCTCTCTTCTTCAGCTGGGAGGGTGCAGGGACAGAGGAGCATCTGAGAGCTCAGCCCCGCCCCCTCAGGGAGAGGAGGAAACGGGACCCCTGGCACAGCGGGCCCCACTGCCACTGTGGTCCAGGCTTGCCAGAAGAGCCTGGGTCAGCAAAGATGTCCTTCTCCACCAGGCCCTCCCCTGCCCCTCCCCAGCCCAGCACAGTCCCCCAGGCAGATGAGAGCAGCCATCCCTGTGGCCCCCGGGAAGCCAGCCCGTCTGAGCCTGGTGGAGGAGCCTTAGGTATACCCCCCAAGCTACAGATGGGGAGACTGAGGCCCAGAGACCAAGAGGAACCAAATGTCACATACGAGGCAAACTTTAGGGTCTCTTCCAATGAATTAGCAATGTGACCTTGGTAGAAAAATTAATGAAACCAATAAAGATGGCACTGATTTTACCAATACCTGACAGGTCTCAAATGCCTACAACATGACAGACACTCACTAAGCCCCTGAGGGGCACTAACTCACGGAAGTCATCTCCTGCCACGCACAGCCTGACAGGCAGTACAACCCCCGCACTTTACAGATGAGGAAACAAGCCTCAAGGAAGGTTCAGGTGATTGTCCAAAGTCACACAGCTGATAGGTGGCAGAGCTGGGGTCGAATGCAGGCTGCCTGGCTGGGGCCCTCGCTCTTCCTTTATCTGATGGCTCTGAGCCTCACTTGCCCATGTGCACAGCAGCGCTGGCCACGAAGCCCAGCCACCATCCAGGCATTGGAAAAGGGGACATGACTGCTGGTTTGTTTTTTTTGTTTTTTTTTTTGAAACGGAGTCTTGCCCTGTGGCCCAGGCTGGAGTGCAGTGGCGCGATCTTGGCTCACTGCAAGCTCCGCCTCCCGGGTTCACTTCATTCTCCCGCCTCAGCCTCCCAAGTAGCTGAGACTACAGGCACCCGCCACCACGCCCGGCTAATTTTGTTTTTGTATTTTCAGTAGAGACGGGGTTTCACCGTGTTAGCCAGGATGGTCTCGATCTCCTGACCTTGTGATCCGCCCACCTCGGCCTCCCAAAGTGCTGGGATTACAGGCGTGAGCCACTGTGCCCAGCCTGTCAAATGCTTATTATGTACCAGGGGTACTCCTGCATACTAGGCACGCTTTACCTCATTTCATCTCTAAACTACCCTGGACGGTGAGCTCTGCTGTTCTGTTTGCTGGGCACATAGTAGATGACCAATTAAATCACCAGGGAAGGAGGGAGGGAGTGTCTTCCTAGGTTGCCAGAGAACAGAGCCTGCTAGCTCCCTTTTGGACCCCACCCTTGGGGCCCCCCACCCACTACCTGCCCAGCCGTGCTCACATTACTGCGGGGGCCTCGGTGCCGGCTGGAGGGCAGGCATTTCTCCTGAACTTCTAGGAGCTGCTGGGCTCTGTGGGAGGGAGTGACATCATGTGTGTAGAAAGAAGGAAAGCTCCTCATTTCTCCTCGAACCCCCCGCCCTGTCCCAGAGGATGGTGAGGGAATGCAGGTGGAGGGAGAGCACCCCCATCTGAGCCCTGGCTCCCAGGGGGACCCCATCCCCAGCTCCTGGCTCTGCGTCACCTCTGATAATTGGGCACGGTGCCCCGGTCCAGGTCCCGCAGAGTGAGGGGGTCAACCCGGGTGCAGAACCATTCCTGCCTCCGCTTGTATGCCGAGTCCACCAGTCGAAGGATCTCTTGGGCTTTCACGCAAAGGGCATGGGGATCTGCCCTCTCAGGCAAGGTGAGGTTGGCACGAATGTAGAAGGGCTCGGCACCTGGTCCCTTTGCCCAGGCTTCTAGGGCCTCGTGGAAGGACTGGCAGGCTGGGCATGGATGGGGCAGGGGGCAGCAAGGAGGACAAGAGGAGGATGGTGAGGTCCAGGATCGGCCTTGGTGGGGCCAAAGACATGGCCCTCTCGAGGCCTGAGTTCCCAGGACCCGACCTTCACCTTCTTAGAATGACTTAGGTCCAGAGGGGGCAGGGACTTGCCCAAGGCCAGTGCCTTCTAGAAACAGAGCCAGGACTCAAACCCAGGTCTCTGGACTCCTAATGTAGTGCTCCTTTCACTGTAAGCTGCTTACAGAGGGAGGCATAGAGAAAGGGCACAAGGACAGACAGAAGGAGGCATCAGCAGGCGGGGAGCCAGGAGAAGGGCAATTGGGGCAAGGCTGGTCCCTTCTCAGGTCCTTGGTCCCTCCCCACCCCATGCACCACGGGTTAGAGGACCCCTCTGGGGCCAACAGCTCCGACTCCCAAGCCAGACTTACCCTTCGAGTCCATCAGGGAGGGGAGTGTGGACCCCTGATTCCAGAGCAAGGTTCTCTGCTGGGCCTCGGCTTCCAGGCACGCCCCCTCCAGACCAGCAGCTTCCACCCTTTGCTGGGAGAAAACCCAGGCAGGGAGGGAAAGAAGTGAGCCTCTGAGAGTAGAGCAGCCCAGGGGCTGGAGGAAGACCAGGTGTGGGGGTGTTTCATGCCTCACAGTTCAGATAGCGCCCCCTCAGAAACTGCCATGCCCAGCCCAGTCAGACCCGTCCCCATCCACAGGACGCCCCCATCCACAGGACTCCCCAACCCGCCCAGCTCATCCAGGTCTTTCTCGACTTGAAGCGCAGGAATGTAACGTGCTGTCAGTTGGCTCCACCTCCCAGTCCCTGCCCAATCAGACTTCAATTAAGCCTGGCTGAGCAGGCAACCACAGCTAATCACTGAGCCCGCTTCGGCTTTGACCAATCCCCAGAAGCTCTGCCCGGTGATCTTGATCCACCAAATTAAGGGATGTCCAGCCTGGGCAAAAGCACTGACCCTACCCCCCCAGCTCAGGAGGCAGGGCCTCACCTCTCTTGGTTCCATCCTGGCGGACCCAGGCCCAGACAGCACCCTGCGCACCACAGCCCCAGACCATCTGTCCCCATAAAACGACAGTCCATCTGGTCCCTTGTCCTGCGGCTCTGGGCCCCCTGGGGGGCTCCGGCCAGACACCCGAATAGCCAGAGACCTGAGAAGGGAGAAAGGAGATGAGAATTGGAGTCCAATCAGTACTTGGATTCAGTTCAGCATTCTTGGAAAACCACAGTGATTTCATTTCCCAAGTATGCCATGACTCCCACCCCCAGGCCTCTCCATCTTCTGTGCCCTCTTCCTTGCCTTCTCCACCTGGGAAATGCTGATCATCCTTCAAATCTCAAGTCACAAGCAGCCTCTCCCCTGGACCTGGGCACACGGTGCAGTGGAGCCTGCGTGCCACAGAGCACTCCAACTT